>NC_000003.12:194913570-195064569 GCF_000001405.40 Homo sapiens | reverse complement strand
TGCAGCTGTGTCTTGGCACCTGCTTTGACTAGAGGCCAAACCTCTGCTAATTTTAACACTTCCTGGCTGATCTTAATATGGGAGGCCCACGGGCTGGGCTAAATCTGGAGGTTGGCAGGGAGCAGAAATTTCCAAGCAAGCAGGTGGTATAGTGGAGACAGCCTCACACCCGAGACGGAGGCCTGGCTTTGAGTCCACATCCTGCCCTCACTACCTGGCCATCTTGGACAGGCAAGGCCACCTCTTTCCCCAGTTCTAGACACTGGTAAGAGCTCCTCAAAGGAGTGTGGAAGGAGGAAAAGATGTGTAAGGACTTGGTAAGCTGTGAAATAATACAGATGTAAGGGAATTCTAACCATTATTACTTAGAATATTCTTTTTAAATTATAAATTACAGCCGTTTTGGAGCTCATGAAATGTGTTGGTAGCATCTCCGTAACCCCATGGATGAACAGATGCATGCTTGTAAGCTGTCCAATTTTTGTTGGCTGTGCCACTCCACAAAAACCAGTAGGTCAGGGGCTACCTCAGCTCACAGTGAACCTGTCAGTCAGGTGTCCACAGATAACTTGCTGGGCGTGTCCAGGAGGTGGAGGCAGTGCTGCCTCAGCTCAAAGCTAACCTGTCACGAGTCCTTGGATAAACCTTTTTCCTCTCTGGGCCTGTTTCTTCATCTGCAAAAACAAGGAGCTGAGGGATTGAACCAGATCTCTGGGCAGTATCCCTGCCCCCAGCTGTCTGGGGAAACACATGTTTCAAATGCAGCCACTGGGGTTCACATGTGGGTAAAGAAGAGTCCAGATCAAATGCGAAACTGCCAGACCTCAACTCGTCATTCACCCACTTAGGATTCATGACATGAACATGCAGAGTAAAACTGTCTCAAAGTATGCGGTTACACACTTCCCTTCTCCCGCATTCTCCACAGGCACAGTGAGGGGTGCAGACCAACTCTGGAGGCGCACTTACAATCCAAAGAGAATCAGCTGTCCCCCAGGAGCCCTCACCTCTCTGCTTATGATCCATTGACAGCTATACCTGCTAACATCTTGTCCCGTTCAGCTATGTGACCACCTTCCAAAGGGTCCCCCCCAGCAGAAAGTCCCATGCCCCACTGGTCTCACCTTGGGAAGTGCCGAGTCTTCACCAGGGAGAGAAGGTAGAGCTACCCTGCGGGGCGTGTTGAGCGGACCAGCCAGCCACTCCCCAAGGAGCTTGCAAAGAACAAAACACCTTCTAGAGTGAAGGGAAGGCCGGTTTAATTGAGGCTGGCTCAGCTCAGAGCATCTCCACTGGCACCCCCATTCTGAGGGGGAAGAGGTGTCCCACCACGCAGACACACTCAGCAGCCTTGCTGAAGGCCACTCATCTGCGGAGCCTCAGAGCGGGAGGGCCTCTTCACATCTCCAAAGCCGGCTGCCCTCCTGTCTCCAGCCTCCCTTCCTGAACCGTAGGGCTTGGCTCCAGCCTGCACCTCAGCCCCCTGCCCCCTGCTGCTCAGGCCTGTGCAGGAGCGCGGGAGCATGGAGCCCGCGGACCTTCCCAGCTGCCTTATGGAGCAAGACAACGTTCCCCCTCACTTCAGGACCCACGCTCGCCACTGTTTTCTGTAGGGGCCTCTCGCTCCATTTTTCATTCCCTTTTATTCCCACAGTCCTCTCCCATCCCCCGAGCAGCCAACCATTCTGATGGGCTCACTGTGCACTGACGGATACCTATGGAGCCTGGGACCACACGCTCACCCCAGTAACCCTGCGTGAGCATCCCTGCCCTTGTTCCTTACAGACCCGATGAGAATTTGTGTTGCATATCCAGGAACAAAACCGCCAGATCATAAGCTATGCAGATACTTCATTTTTGACTAAGTGGTGCAAGCTACTCCCCCGAGACCTGGCCCCCACCCCTATGGTCACCGGCACGAGCCCCCACTTTCTCTCCACCACAGTGCTCGTGTTCACGTGTCTCTGTGCATTGACACGTTGTGATCCAAGATATACTGGAGTCCTCCAGCGCGTGTGGCCCGCGTCAGAGCTGCCTCCGCATGAGTGGCATATGCCGCTGTGGAAGGAGGCTGGACGGGGAGGCAGGGGCCCTGGCTTCTGGCCTGTCCTCACTGCCTGACTGTGGCCAGCGGGTGCACCACTGTGAGTGGGGGAGAATGTAACCAGCTCCTGATCTGCCCGCCCTCCCAGGACTGCTGTGAGTAGCAGGTGAGATAACTCATAGCAAAGAACTTTCAAGACCCTAGACATACCTCACTCCCTCACACCCCAGCCCAACCCAGTGCCGCATGGAGACGCCAGGGCAGACACAGGCCATGGCTGAGCTTCCTCGGAGCTCTGTGGTGTGCTGAAGTCCTGCCAGGGGAGTGCCATGGCCATCCGACCCCACACTCGAGCCGTCTCATGGATGGAGCCTGGCGTTCGTCCATTAAGCCTCGGCCGATCCCACAGAGAGCCCCAGAGCCAGGGTGGCCTTGCACAGAAGCCGTGGGGTGAAGCCCAGGAGTGCGACCTTCAACCCCCACTTATCCCGTCACTGGGCACCTCCACCTTCTCTCAGGAAAAGCCCCTCTCCCTTACCTCAGGCAAAACCAGGAAGCTCTTCCGCCTACCCAGCCCGGTCCTGGCACTTCCCAAGGCCCAGAATGGCTTGACGCAGGCACAAGCCCGAGGGCTGAGAGTGCCCGCTGGGTGTTTGTGAATTTCCGTGCTCGCAAGGCACGGTGTCAGGGAAGCAGGTAATCCTCTTCTTTCCAGCAATAGAGAGTGACACGACTGGCTGTAATCTTCCAAGGCCAGGTGAGCACACGCACGGAAAACTCAAAGTGCCTGGTTATGGTCATGGGCAGGCGGCTTCAGGGTAAGCTTAGATCCATCTCATCCTG
Organism: Homo sapiens; assembly: GCF_000001405.40. Taxonomy (NCBI): domain Eukaryota; kingdom Metazoa; phylum Chordata; class Mammalia; order Primates; family Hominidae; genus Homo; species Homo sapiens. Next base: position 195,061,682 of record NC_000003.12, on the reverse strand, counting down.
TCCATCCTTTTAGGAAATTTCATCTTCTCTCCAAACCAAGAAGCCACGGCAGTCTCTTTCCTTCCAGCCTCTTTCCCCAGCTCAGCCTCCTTTCCCAGGGACCCCAGGATCCTCCTGCCGCACAGGCCTTGAAACTCCCCAGCTGGGGCTCCCCCCGTCTCCCTGGCACCCAGACCCCTTGTACTACAATCCCACACCACTGCTGCCTCTCCCTACTGGGTTTCTGCTGTTCCTAGGACACAGATCGAGAGATGGAGATTCACGAGCAGGAGGCTTCCTGGAAACTGCTCTGTGGGAGGGGAGGGAACAGGATTAGGCAGGGAGATGTTGAGCTCCGAGACAGTCATGACAAAGGCCTCAGCCAGTCCCACAGAGAGCCCCAGAGCCAGGGTGGCCTTGCACATAAGCCCTGGGTTGATGCCCAGAAGTGGGGCCTTCAACCCTCACCTGTCCTGGCACTGGGCATGGGCGGCCCCGGGTGAGGGCATAGCCTTGGGCAAGGCAGCTCTCTTCAGCCAGGGTCACTCCTGGGGACTCTGCTCCCTGCCATCAGCGCCCAACACTTGCGGGAGAACAAGGCCTCCATCCTGAAGCAGGGGCTGGTGGCACAGCAGCGTCCCTCCCGGAGCGCTGCCCCTGCAGGCCCGGCGGCCCACAGCACCCCCTCCTGCAGCTCCCACCTTGGCTGCCCTCTAGTCTACTCTTGGTTCTTTCTCCTCAAAGGCTTTCAGCTCTGGGCATGTCCTGCCTCCGCTCTCTCCTCTTGCAGGTTCCCTGGCATCCTTCCCTGGGCGAGAGCACAGGCCAGGCTGCCTGTGCAGGTCAGCCACCTCTCCATGGTGACACTGCCCAGACTGTCCCAGCCCAGCGTGCCCCAGTGGTGCTAGCTGGTCCCAATGGCAACACCAGGGAGGGCCATCTGCTTTTAGCAGGGAACAAGACCTTATTCTTCTGTCCTTTCCCTCCACGTGTGGATCCCGACAGGGCCCAGTGGCCCACAGGGGATCTGTGAGCAGCCCTGGGCACACCGACAGGCTGTAGGGCTGTGGCTCGGCAGGAGGAGGCAGGACCTCAGCCACCTTCGAGACAGGTGAGGAGCTCTCCAAAGGTGAAGAGCCCTGCAGACCCAGAGGCAGCATCTGCCCGTGCCAGGGGTGATGCCAAAGTGGTGAGCCTCCATCGGGGTGAGGCCACTGCTTATCATGGGCAGGGTCAGTCAGAAGAACTCCATGAAAAGAATATAGGCTTTCAGGAGGGGGCACAAGTTGACATCTGTGACACTTTGTTCATTTGTACCCAGGCTGGAGAGCAGTGACATGATCTCAGCTGACCAAGCCCCTGCATGGGCTAGATTCTGGGGTCACAGAGGTGAAGAGGGCGGGTCAGTCCTCATTCTGACAGAACTTCCCACGCAGTGAGTCTGTCTCACTGCTGCAGGTCGGTGCCCAGAGAGGGGTCCCCATGGATCCACACTGAGGGTGAGGGATGCCTCCTGGATTCCTGCTGCGTGCCCCAGGTGAGAAAGCACGGCTGTGTGGCCTTTAGTTAGGAGCATACTTGGCCTCTCTGAGCCTCTCTGTGGCACATGCTAGGGTCCCAACTCTACACAGGGAGCTACCAGGGAACTACCAGGGAGGCTATGACCTGAGCCCTAGAGAGGAAATACGTGCTGTGTTCCATCCAGGCTCTGGGTGGACTCTGCCCCTAGGATTATTATCCTTGCCCTGCCACAGACTTGCTGTGTGACCCAGACAAGTTAGTCCCATCTCTAGCCCTCACTTGCCTCCTTTGTAGCAGAAAGGGGTTGTGCCAGAATCTATACTTCAAGGCCTAGGTGGAGACAAAGTTTTAAAAGCAAAGCGAGCATCCTCACGTTCTAGGGAGTCGTCCCGCATGGAAAAGGGGAGGGGTCCCGGCACGGCGCGTGCAAAAGGGGAGGGGTCCCGGCACAGTTTGGGTGAGACAGGACAGGGCCTTCTCAGGCTGGGGCTCCTGGCGGTCATCACAGGCTTTTAGACCTGCCAGGGGACTGAAGCCTTTGGTTGGAATCTCTTGGTACCAAAAGACAAGAAAGTGGGAATTATACCAAGTGCAGCGAGCGCCTCCGGACTCAGGTCTGCGTGAACAAGCCGTCGTGGGAAGAGCTAACTTTGAGTCTGTCTTCTCAGCCCGTGACCCGTGGGGATGAAGGAACGAATGGGCCAGGCTCTGCGCTTGTGCCCAGACCCTCCTGTGGCTCTGCTGGGGCACCTGCCCTGCTCCTCACCGCTTTCTTCCTTCCACCTCTGCTCCTCTGTGAGAACTGAGCTCAAGGGAGAGGAAGCCTCCCTGCCCCCTCAGCTGGAGCTGGGTGTCCCTCCTGTCACCTGTGACACCCTGAGCCTCCCTCTGCAAGTTGGTGGAGAATATTTCTTGTCCAGGGCTTGTAAGAAAGAGCGTTATCCTGAGCAACGAGCTGCATGTCCTGAGGTGGGTGAAGGAGGCGGGGGCGGAGGGCGGACGCTGGGGCCTCTGTCTAGGAGCAGCCTGTGTTTTCTGGCATGGCCTGCGGAAGGAAGCAGAAGTCCAGGGCCCTTTTGACAGGAGGCCGCGCGGCCGGATGATGGGGAGAGGAGAGAGGTGCTTAGGGCCTGTTTCACAGAAAGAGAGTTTGAGAGATGGTGACGCTTGTGGCCGGGGTTATGAATAGGATCCTCACTCTTTTTCAAGGCACACAGATACAGACGGACCTTCTTAATTTCACTTTGCCGGGCTCCATGTTGTTGGATGCCACAAGAGGCTGATGCGGGTCCCCGGGGCCTGGCGTGTCAGCGGGTTGCACCTCTAGCTGGACAGGCACCACCGTGCTCCCACCGCCTCTTGCATCCCACTGTGCCTCTGGTTTCCGCACCCCTGGGAGGCAGGAGCTCTGGCATCTTCGTGCTCCCTGCACCTGACTCCACTGACTCCACTGCCAGGCACAGGGTGGGCCCTCATTAACTCTCTGCTACTTGCCTGGGGATAACTGAAAACCATCCCCTTCCTCAGTACAGGAGAGAAATGGAAGCGGCGGATTCAGGAAACAGGAGGGCAGAGTGAGTGGAGACAGGCCCAGGGCTGCCCAGCCCCCAGAATCCCAGAGGGGGCCACAGGAGGGAGGGATGGGAGAGTGCCAGGCACTTGGGAGGACTTGGCGTCAGGGCAGACTGAGGGGTGGAGGCTCAGAAATGAACACTCCTGGCAGGAAAGGCCCCTCTGTGCCCCCACTGAATTAATATCCTGTGCTCACATCTGTCCTCTTCTCTAGCTTAATAGATTCCTGGGACATGACGGTCTCTGCGGCAATTGTTTCACCATAAAATTCCCTTTATCTGGCCGGGTGCGGTGGCTCATGCCTGTAATCCCAGCACTTTGGGAGGCCGAGGCAGGTGGATCACAAGGTCAGGAGTTCAAGACCAGCCTGGCCAATATAGCGAAACCCTGTCTCTACTAAAAATACAAAAACAATTAGCCAGGCGTGGTGGTGGGCACCTATAGTCCCAGCTACTTGGGAGGCTGAGACGGGAGAATCTCTTGAACCCAGGAGGCAGAGGTTGCAGTGAGCCAAGATTGCACCGCTGCACTCCAGCCTGGATGACAGAGTGAGACTCCATCTCAAAAAAAAAAAAAAAATTCCCTTTATCTGATTGGGAACACCCTAAAATGTTCTATTACCCCTGCTCCGCAGAGCCCAGCTGGATGGTCCTGAAGTGCAGGCAGACATGGCAGGAGATGCTTAGAGAAGGAGTGAGCACCGTGTCCCTGGGGGTGTGCAAGCAGAGGCCATGCGAGCTCGCAAGAAAAGGAACAGACGAGAGCTTGGGGGGCCTGACCTGTGTGTCCTGAGCGCCCTAGGATTCTAGACTTCCAAGCTCATTTCCCTCCTGGTCTCCTCAACTAACTCCTTTGAGAAACAGTGACTCTGCTCCTGAGCACATTCAGGTCCCAGCTTCAGAGGCTCTTCCTACTTCTAGGAAGGGGAGTACCCTCTGAACAACCGCAGGACCGGGTCCTTAGGAAAATGACCACACTCATCACTCTCCCTTTTCCCCTTTCCCCATGGCAATCTCAATTTCCTACAAAAAGCACCACAGAAAGCCACCCTGAGGATCCCAAAGGCAAACAGAGACACAGGAGAGTGGGAGGTGCCTTGGGGAAGGGGCACCCACTGCACCTGTCCTGAAGCCGACGCGAAAACATGGCTCGGTGGAAACGCTGGAGCCCAGGAAGAGCCCTCTTGGTTTGATTTGTGCTCTGGACAGTTTCCAGATCGAATCACACACTCATGGTTGGGCTAAAACCCTGAGAAGGGAGGGGGATTAATAAAAGGAGCCCTAGGAAGCAAAACACAATATCATTTCTTAAAATTGCAGCCGACATTTTTAAAAAGGAAGATTGACAACCTTACCTAAATACAGAAGGAACTGTCCTGACCCAGCTAAGATAACATTGACCTGTGCCAGAAGGTGCTGTGATTTTTCTAAACAAACAAACAAAACAAAACAAAACACACACACACACACACAGATGCTGGGTGCAGTGGCTCACACCTGTAATCCTAGTACTTTGGGATGCCAAGGTGGGCAAATAACTTGAGCCCAGGATTTCAAGACCATCCTGGGCAAGATGGCAATACCCATCTCTACAAAAAGTAAAAAAAAAAAAAAAATTAGCTGGGTGTGGTGGCGTGCACCTGTAATCCCAACTACTCAAGAGGTTGAGGTGGGAGGATCCCTTGAGTCCAGGACTTTGAGGCTGTAGTGAGCTGTGGTGGTACCACTGCACTCCAGCCTGGGCAACAGAGCAAGACTCTGTCTCTGAAATAATGATTTTAAAAAGATGTCATCAATAAGCACTGCAGCCCTCTTGACTCTAGCTGAGTCAGTATAATCCGTGGAGTCCTGGGTCATGGTGTGACTCCACGTGGGTTCAGGTTGCAGAGCCTGGGCCACCTCGCTGCTCAGCCAGGGCCAGTGCAGGAGCTCCCCAGCCTCAGATACGGAGTCCTTGCCTGCCGAAGAGCTGCTACTCTCCTGCTTCCTGCTGTGCAAATGGCAGTGGGACTTTCACTCTGAAATAAGGTTATTAATTTCAAGTGCCCTTTCCCTGCAGCCCTCCTTTCACTCCCAGGTTCCCTTGGGGTAAGTGGGGGCTGGGGGGAGTGGTAAAGATGGAAGCAGCTCTCCTGCCCTTCATGAGTCCACAGGACCTCACGGTTCACAAATATGCACTTACGAAGGGTCTTCACTTTCATTTCACAAGGTTCATTTCACCTTACAACAGTGTGCCCACCCACCCCAGATGGAAAGGAAAGAGACTATTATCCCCATTGTGCAGGTAGGGGAAACTGAGGCTCACAGAGGTAAAGTTACCTACACTTGCCTAGCTTGCAAGTGGTAAAGCTTGCACTAGAGCAGATGACTTCTGGCTTCCAACTAGTCTATCATTCAAGAAGTATTTATTGGGTTCCTACTGTGTCTCCAATACTGTTCTAGGTGCTGGAGATACAGCAGGGATCAAGGTGCACATGGTTCCTGACCTCAGGGGGCTTATCTTCTGGTGGGAAGAGAGATGGATAACAAATAAGTAAACAAGCTTAAAAGTGAGGAGGAGGGGGCCAGGTCGGTGGCTCATGCCTGTAATCCCAGCACTTTGGGAGGCCTAGGCGGGCGGATCACCTGAGGTCAGGAGTTCAAGACCAGCCTGGCCAACATGGCGAAACTCTGTCTCTGCTAAAAATACAAAAATTAGCTGTGCGTGGTGGTGGGCACCTGTAATCTCAGCTATTCGAGAGGCTGAGGCAAGAGAATCACTTGAACCCAGGAGGTGGAGGTTGCAGTGAGCCAAGATCACGCCGTTGTACTCCAGCCTGGGTGACAGAGCAAGGCTCCGTCTCAAAAAAAAGTGAAGGAAGCAGCTATGTGACGTCTTGGGGAGAGGATTCCAGGCAGAGGGAACAGCGAGAACAAAGGCACAAGGAAGGAACAAGTTGGAGCAGTTGGAGGGATGGCCAGAAGACCGTGGTAGCCCAGGCATAGAGAGGAGAGCAGGCACAGGAAGTGAGGTCAGAGAGAGGCAGTGGGTCATGGAGGGCCTCATTGCCACAGAGAGAGCGAGCGGTGGGTCACGGAGGGCCTCATTGCCACAGGAAGGAATTGGGTCTTATCCAAATGTGATGGGAAGCCAGGAAGCCACTGGAGCGTTTGAAGCAGGGAAGTGACATTTGTGGTCATTGTATAGAGTAGGCTGGAGGGGACAAGAGTGTCAGGAGAAAGCCCAGGTAGGGGGTGATAAAATTGTGTAGGCAAAAGGTGAAGGAGGCTTGGGTTGGTGACTGATTGAAGTGGACAGAATGAAGAAGCAGGAAGTGTGTGAAGGGGGAGCATCCAGGCCTTGCTGAGGGCTAGGGCTGTAGGCGGACTGGGGACGAGCAAAAGAGGGGAGTCCAGGCTTCCGCCAGTGGCTTTGGCTTGAGGAATTTGGGGAATGCTTTTATTGAGATAGAGAAGATGTTGACAGAGCAATTTGGGGTGAGGGGAAGAAATCAAGTGTCCTGTTGGTGACAAACTTGAGGTGTCTATTCAACAACCAAGTATAGACCTCAAACAGGCTGTTGGCATTCAGGGGAGGGTCCAGGAGAGGGGTTGGTTGTGGGCTATACATCTGGGTGTCAGTTGTATGGTTTCAAGATGATTAAGTGAGGGACACATTGCTTCCATTCTCTTGAAAATCACCCCCAAAATAAAAGAGAAAAAAATCCCTAAAATAAAACTCCAGTCTGAGGAAATGGGAAGATGTTTATGCCTCCAAATCACAGTAGGTGAAGATAGGAGGTAGACAGAAGAATGAGAAATGACTTGGCAAAGAGGAGAAAGCCCCCATGTAGGTGCCTGCAAGGCACAGCGTGCCCACAGAAAGGAAGCTGAGACACCTTACAGAAGCCAGGAAGGAAGGGGAGTGGGAGGCACAAGCTGGGAAGGGTGGGAATGAGGCCTGGGAAATGGGGGCTGGAAACGGGAGGGGGCGGGAGGCACTGAAAATCTAAGAGGCAGTCCCCATGAGGTCCCCACCGATGAGCACCCTCTCCCCAGTCCTGCAGGAGACTGGAACTTTATTCTCTGTTTAAAATGCACTAGGAGGCCCCGAGAATGGGGGCGGGGGGGCAGTGGTGAAGCCCTGACTAAAAACAACAAGCTGAGCGAGGTTCTGCACATTGACTGGAGACCTGCCCCAGCCCCTTCCCTGTCCAGCTCTTGGACCCAGCAGCTGGGCTTCTGTCCTGGAGCAGGCAATTGGAGGAGACACCTTCTATTCTCTGGAGAAACTGAACTGCCCAGAAAATACCTGTAGCTATGACATTTCGGGGTCCTAAATGGAAATACCAACTGACCACCAGAGCACCCTGCAAGGAAGCCCACCAGTCTCCTAATCCCACCTGTACACCCAGAGTCTCCTGTTTGCATTTGGACACAAGGGCTCAGATAAAGTCCATCAGACATTTGAGGAAAGCCCTCTGACACAAAAGATAGAGATCAAAGCACACAATCAGAGAAAAGGCACTCAGAGAAAAAGAAAATGTCAAAATAAATTATAATATCCTCAAAGGATGAGGAGGTACCGCATCTGTGAAACACAAAGAAGGGCTACAAAAAAAGAAACACCCAGGACTAATCAAATATTCTTGGCAATTAAAAATGATAGATAAAATAAAAAAATTCGGCCGGGCGCGGTGGCTCACACCTGTAATCCCAGCACTCTGGGAGGCCCAGCTGGGCAGATCATGATATCAGGAGATGGAGACCATCCTGGGTAACACGGTGAAACCCCGTTTCTACTAAAAATACAAAAAATTAGCCAGGCTTGGTGGTGGGCACCTGTAGTCCCAGCTACTCAGGAGGCTGAGGCAGGAGAATGGCGTGAACCCAGGAGGCAGAGCTTGCAGTGAGCCGAGATCGTGCCACTGCACTCCAGCCTGGGTGAAAGTGCGAGATTCTATCTCAAAAAAAAAAAAAAAAAAATTGAATAACATGGTTGAACAACGAATTAGAGGAATTCTGTAAGAAAGGAGAGGGGAAAAGACAAAAGTGAAAAATAGGGGAAAAATATATTTTCAGAAATTAGAAGTTTCAACATCTGCCCAGTGTAAGTTCTAAGTAATTTGGAGGATAGTACCAAAGAAATCATGTAAGAAAAGTTGCTAGAACTGGAAGACAGAAATGCACAGTACAAAGAAGGTAAAAAGGCTGACCTCAATGCAATCAATGTGAAATTTAAGAATATCAGACAAAAAGAAAATCCTAGAAACTCCAGTCAAGTGTGAGATAAGAATGAAGACACAGCACACAAACTCTTAGAACATTTGCCTCCTTTCTCGGAAAGCTTCAGGAGGAAAGCGTCACCATTGCAAGGAAGTAAACCAAGAAAAAAGAATGCACAAGATCCAGGAAGCAGGGGGCTAATGGAGCCAGGAATTGAAGGGGATGCTCGGCTGTGCAGCAGGCTGGGAGAGCGGCAGTGCAGATGGGAGTGGGAGGTGGGAGCGGGAGGTGGGAGGGGTTTGGAGGGAAGTGGAACTGACAAAGTAGTGACATACTTGACCATGCGAATAACTGACAGGCCTTAGAGGGTGCAGGGAGAGCTAGCCAGAGAGTAAAACAGCAATAACCACAACAACAAAAAGTAAGCAAATAAAAATTATTGACTCCAGAAAAAAAGGTTTAAAGAAAGAATATGCATTTGCTGGGCCCATCAATGAAAATATTAACTTAATCCTATCAGTGAAATACTACTACAGATTTTTTTTTAAAACTTGAAGTGCAAAGAGGGAAATAGATGATGTAAAATATCTCAAATCATTATTTACTATAATAAGAAGTTAACAGATAATATATTAAATCGAGGCTGGGCATGGTAGCTCACACCTGTAATCCCAGCACCTTGGGAGGCTGAGGCAGGTGGATCAGTTAAGGCCAGGAGTTCGAGACCTGCCTGGCCAACATGGCAAAACCCAGTCTCTACTAAAAATACAAAAATTGTCCGGGCATGGTGGTACGTGCCTGTAATCCCAGGTACTCGGGAGGCTGAGGCAGAGAATCGATTGAACCTGGGAGGCAGAGGCTGCAGTGAGCCGAGACTGTGCCACTGCACTCCAGCCTGGGCGACAGAGCGAGACTCCATCTCAAAAAAAAAAAAAAATTACACACACACACACACATTTATATAAAATTGATTGTAAAAAGGCTAGCAAGATATGCATGCTGTTTAGAAATATGGAGATAAATAGGTAAATCCTGGAAGGAAACAAATGAAAAGAGATTGTTTCTGAAGAGGTGTGGGGAAGATAGATAAGATACTCCTGCTTTTTAAAAATAAGCTTTTTAGCACTGTTTGGGTTTTTAAAAAATTATTTCTATGTGACGCTTAGACAAAAAATAAGAAAGCACTGATACATGATATTTAGAGCCTCTGGACTAATTGAAATCCTTAAGAAGAGAGTGTAAATAGTGAGAAGAGGGCCCAGGACCAAACTCCGAACACTCCAACATTCACACACTGAGCTGAAAAGGAGGAGGAATTAGCAAAGGAGATTGAAGTAACAGGGGAACAACAAAGTGAAGGGGCCAGAAGAACCGAGAGAAGAAAGTTGCTCAAGAAGAAAGTGGTGCTTAACTGAATACTGTTGACCCTGGAAAGCAAAATAGGACTGAAATTATTCAGGATACATGAATGCAATGGAATTAAATATGTCGTGAACTGAAGATAATCTACATGATTACCTCCACAGATGTAGAAAAGGCTTTCAGAAAAGTCAACATCCCTTCATGTCAAAAACTCACAATAAACTAGGTATTGAAGGAATGTACCTCAAAATAATAAGAGCCATCTATGTGACAAACCCACAGCCAACACCATACTGAACAGGGAAAAGCTGGAAGCATTTCCCTCGAAAACCTGCAGAAGACAAGGATGCCCTCTCCCACCACTCCTATTCAACATATTGAAAGTCCTGACCAGGGCAATCAGGCAGGAGAAAGAAATAAAGGGCATCCAAATAGGAAGAGGGGAAGTCAAACCAACCCTGTTTGCAGATGACATGATTCTACATCTAGAAAACCTTATACTCGCAGCCCAAAAGCTCATTCCACTGGTAAACAACGTCAGCAAAGTTTCAGGATAAAAAATGAATGTACGAAAATTACGAGCATTCCTATACACCAACAACAGCCAAGCTGAGAGCCAAGTCAGAAAGGCAATCCCATTCACAATTGCCACAAAAAGAATAAAATACCTAGGAATATAGCCAACCAGAGAGGTGAAAGATCTCTACAATGAGAATTACAAAACACTGCTCAAAGAAATCAATTACAAAACACTGCTCAAAGAAATCAGAGATGACACAAACAAATGGAAACACATTTTATGTTCATGACTAAGAAGAACCAATGTCATTAAAATGGCCATACTGCCCAAAGCAATTTATAGATTCAATGCTATTCTTATCAAACTACCAACAACATTCTTCACAGAACTAGAAAAAAGTATTTTAAAATTCATATGGAACCAAAAAAAGAGCCCGAATAGCCAAGGCAATCCTAAGCAAAAAGAACAAAGCTGGAGACATCACATTACCCAACTTCAAACTATACTACACGGCTATACTACAAACTATACTTCACCAAAACAGCATACTACTGGCACGAAAACAGACACAGACCAATGGAATAGAACAGAGAGCCCAGAAATATGGCCACACATTTACAACCATCTGATCTTCAGCAAAGCTGACAAAAACAAGCAATGGGAAAAGAACTCCCTATTCAATAAATGGTACTGGGATAACTGGCTAGCCATATGCAGAAGACTGAAAATAGACCCCTCCCTTACATCACATACAAAAATCAGCTCAAGATGGACTAACGACTTAAATATAAAACCCAAAACTATAAAAACCCTAGAAGACAACCGAGGCAATACCATCCTGGACATAGGAACAGGCAAAGATTTCATGGCGAAGATGCCAAAAGCAATCGCAACAAAACAAAAATTGACAAAAGGGATCTAGTTAAATTTAAGAGCTTCTGCACAGCAAAAGAAACTATCAACAGAGTAAACAGTTTACAGAATGAAAGAAAATGTTTGCAAACTATGCATCTGACAAAGGTCTAATATCCAGCATCTATAAGGAACTTAAACGAATTTATAAGAAAAACACAAACAAAAAAGTGGCAAAGGACATGAACAGACACTTTTCAAAAGAAGACATACACGGGGCCAAACAGCACTTGAAAAAAAGCTCAACATCACTGATCATTAGAGAAATGCAAATCGTACCAGTCAGAATGACTATTATTAAAAAGTCAAAAAAGAACAGATACTGGCAAGGTTGTGGAGAAAAGAAGACTTTTTTTTTATACATTGTTGATGGGAGTGTAAATTAATTCAACCATTGTGGAAAGCAGTGTGACGATTCCTCAAAGAGCTAAAAGCAGAACTCCCATTCGACCCAGCAATCCCATTACTGGGTATATACCTAGAGGAACAGAGATCATTGTATTATAAAGACGCATGGCCCTGACTGTTCATTGCAGCACTACTCACAATAGCAAAGACATAGAACCAGCCTAAATGCCCATCAGTGACAGATTGGATAAAGAAAACGTGGTACATACACACCATGGAATACTATGCAGCCAAAAAAAAAAACAGAAGGAGACATGTCTTTTGAGGAAACATGGATGGAGCTGGAGGCCATTATCCTTAACAAACTCATGCAGGAACAGAAAACCAAATACCCCATGTTCTCACAAGTGGGAGATAAATGATGAGAACACATGGACGCAAAGAAGGGAACGAGACACTGGGGTCTACCTGAGGGTGGAGGGTGGGAGGAAGAGAGGAGCAAAAAAGCTAAGTGCTTGATACTAGGCTTAGTGCCTACGTGATGAAATAATCTGTACAGCAAACCCCCATGACATGAGTCTATATAACAAACTTGCACATGTTCCCCTGAACCTCAAATAAAAGCTTTTTTTTTTTTTTTTAAGAATTAAAGATCGTTTTAAACTGTGTGCTTCAGACATAGCTAAGTCAGACTGGTCTCCTTCCCTAGTATAGACTTACAGGAGTTGACTGTCATTATTTCACTGTGATCGCCTTTCAACTCCTGCTTCCAGTATAGAAGAACTTTTTCCTTTGTGTTCCAAATCTACCTTGAGCTGGAGCCACCTCATATTGGGAAAGCTGATTATTAATTTTTCAAGAATTTTGTGATCCAGTTGTTCAAAACAACCATTATTAAAAATTAAATTGGCTGGGCGCGGTGGCTTATGCCTGTAATCCCAGCACTTTGGGAGGTCAAGGTGGGCGGATCACAAGGTCAGGAGTTCGAGACCAGCCTGGCCAATATGGTGAAACCCTGTCTCTACCAAAAATACAAAAATTAGCCGGGCATGGTGGCAGGTGCCTGTAGTCCCAGCTACTCAGGAGGCTGAGGCAGGAGAGTCACTTGAGCCCGGGAGGCAGAGCTTGCAGTGAGCCAAGATTGTGCCACTGCACTCCAGCCTGGGCAACAGAGCAAGACTCCATCTCAAAAATAAATAAATAATTAAATTAGATAAACCATCAATTAGATCCTAAAAACAAAGGTAGTCAATATTCAAAATACATCAATTATTAATTATCATCCTACATTTTACTATAATCTATGCCCTTGAGGTTATCTGTATGTGTATGGTAGAAATACTATATGAGAGTGTGCTACTATCCATCTTTTCCCAGTTCCACATCAGTGACATCACGTTGGTAACTTAAAATTGTGGGAATAGTAACACCATGGAAATTGGCAAATGGCACAAGCCAGGGCTTTTTGTTCCGGAGAGCAAGTGGTTAATCAGCATATCACTGCTGATGCAATCCTTTGCCTGTTTCCCTTGAACGTACAGGTGAGTGGATAGGAAGCTGTTTGGTGTCTGGTTGGTTGATCGGATGACTGGACGGATGGGCGATGGATTGATTGTATGGCTGGAGGCTGCTTCCCTTTCTGACAGTCACTGGACCCTAAAGACCATGTCCCCAGTGCATGAAACAGCAGAGCAGCACGAGGATGGCCTGACTTTAGATGGTCAGCCAAAGGCCTATTCTTAGCTGAAACCCAGTATCAGTCTGCTCACTCTTGCCTAAGTATAGGAAGTGGACAGCTTGCTTTGAGAAGTGGGGCAACATATCCACCTAAATGTTGCTGGAATAAGTAAAGCATTCCCTGCAGAGGAAAGGGACACCTTTATTCTCTTCGTGTCTGCAGGTGGCTTTGGTGCCAAGCTGTCCCCTGCCTGCTTCTGTTTTCACCCCCAGCCCCAGTGCTGCAGGCTGATGGGGCTCCTTCTCCACTGACTCGCGTTTCCTCATATTCATGGAGCTCTGCCGGCAGCTAGGCTGAGGGAGGAGCTGGGCATACAGCTCTGGCCATACAGAAGGTGCTGGTAAGAAACGGAGGCAGAGAGCAGTGCAACAGGATGCAGAGGGACCGGCACTATCAGGAGTGAGAGAGGTGAGAATGGCAGTGGGGTGGTGTGTGCGACCTCCTTCCACGGGAGCAGCAAGACGAGGCACCATGGACTCATTTGTATCTGCCGCCTCTTGTCCAAGCAGCTGTTGGAAAACAACTAACACCATTTTCTAGGACCCTTGAAAGGGAGGAGGTTGGGTTCCAGCCCCAGCTCTGCTTCTGATACCCTGTGTGACTCTGAGTATATTAATTCGCCACTCTGGGCCTCAATTTCCCATCTATAAAATAATTATGAGCTTAGATCAGTATCCCCATGTTAAAGGATACTTACTCTGTGGTCAAAAAAGTTTCTTGGGCAAATGTTTAAGAAACACTCCATTCACACTGGATCCCCTTCTTGGGGATTCTTAGTGCTCCTCAGTGCATTAAAGGCTCTGATCAGTCCTGCAGGAGAGGGCCATGTTTATTTTTAACCTAGCATGTCCCAAATGTATTTATCCACAGAAACCTTTTGAGACAATTGCTGTTCTGGAGTATCTCAGAATCGAGGTCCCTTTCAACTCTCTCATCTGTTCTGGTTTTATGGACTGTAAGACAGAAACGTCCTCCATGTGAGGAGTGCCTTGGAGGAGAGAGATGGACCATGTAAAGATGGAGGGAGTGGCCAGGCATGGAGGCTCATACCTGTAATCCCTGCACTTTGAGAGGCCAAGGTGGGTGGATCACGAGGTGGAGATCGAGACCATCCTGGCCAACACGGTGAAACCCCGTCTCTACAAAAAATACAAAAATTAGCTGGGCATGGTGGTGCGTGCCTGTAGTCCCAGCTACTCGGGAGGCTGAGGCAGGAGAATCGCTCCGACCCGGGAGGCAGAAGTTGCAGCGATCCAATATTGTGCCACTGCACTCCAGCCTGGTGACAGAGCAAGATTCCATCTCAAAAACAAACAAACAAACAAAAAAAGATGGAGGGAGCTTTTGGAACGGATCTTCAAGGATGGCCAAGAGCCTTCTACATGGAGGAAGGGTCCACTGAATATAACTTGCCACATTCCAGGAGGAGTGGTGGGCATTTCGTGTTAATTTCCAAGTCACTGGCCTTGAAATAAAGTGGAACAGGATGGAACGGCCATTGTGAGCCTGCTCAATTCCACGTGCTAGATATACATCATGTTATTTAAACATGAAAGGAGGGGACATTGTGCCCATTCAATAGATGAGGGACACAAGGCTTCAAGAAATTAAATGGCTTGCTCAGAGCCACATCCCTAGCATGTGGGAGAGCTGAGGGGTGGTCCAGAGCTTTCTGATTCCAAAGCCTCCATTCTTTCCACCCCACTGTGCCTTTCCCAGGAGGCAGGGAGGCCTTGGCTTGGCTTGGGTTAATTCTCCTTTTCCAGGAATGACCTGCAGCTGTTCCTATTGCCCCGGAGGCCTGGGCAGTTCCTCCCCACCCAGAGGGCTCCTCCGCTTGGCCACCCAGGTTGGCTGCCCTTGGAGGGCCATTTTGGCTCTGGCCTCCTGAGAAGCTCCAGTCATTGCCGCTCTGTGGCCTGGCTGTGGCCCCTCCCCTGCCATCCATCCCACACTACAGGTTCGCCAAGAACCTGCACGTCCCTGGCTTCTGCCTGGTGCCCTGCATCTCATGTCCTAGAGGAAGTCTCCCCAGTCCTCCCGGGCCCCCTCTCCTGGCTCATCAGAGGCAGCCCTGTAGTAGGGACATACATGTGTTTTTCCCCATGGGCCTGTTTGTTCCTAGAGGATAGGGGCTGCATCTCCTGCATGGCTCAGGAGCCCTGGCTGCTGGCCCTGGGGTTACTGTGGGAAGCCAGGGTCAGCTGGCACTTTCCTGAGTGTCACAGGCATTTTCAGAACCCTGCTCCTAGTCCCCCTTTCTTTACCCCCCTACCACAACTCCAGAGGTCCGCATGAGTGTGTGGGCCTCCCTGAGATGCAGGAGGGTGAGCTGGATAGAAGCTGGGCTGTGGCATCAGACAGAGCAGCCCCGACCCTCCACCTACTATTGGGGGACACAGGCAGGTCACTTAACTTCTCTGAGCCTCACCTGTAAGATGAAGCTCCCAGGGTGGTCTTGGGAATTGACAAAACAGTGCACTTAAAGTTCTCATCCCGGGCCCTGCACACAGTGAGTGCTTAACATGCTGTAGTGATGGAGGTGGAGGAGGAGAACGGAGAAGGGAACTGAATGTCAGAGCCTGTCAAGGCTACCGCAGGCTGGAGTCCCCGGGAAGCAGACTCCACAGTGATTGGCGTGCAGGGCATGTATAGAGAGAGCTCTTGGGATTGAGGCCCGTGGGGGAGAAGGAAGGAAGCAGGATTGTGTCGAGGAGGAGGCTGAAGCCCCTGCTGACCCCAGGAGGTCAGGAGCTGGAGGGCCCTTCAGCACTGCCCTGGGTGGGGGTGAGGGGCCTTTAACCTGAAGCCAATCACTCAGCTCCTATAGGCTGCCCCGAAAGGTGCTTTCCTGCTGCCCAGGCCAACCCCCGCATGGAGTGAGGGTGGAGGGCGGTCTCCTGGCGGCACTCTGAAGCCAAGTCTGAGTGGCCCATCGCGGTCTCCACCACCGAGGCCCTCTAGTGCAGCCCAGGTCACCTGCAGAGGGTGTTAAGACAGATTGCTGGCTGGGCGCGGTGGCTCATGCCTGTAATCCCAGCACCTTGGGAGGCCTAGGCAGGTGGATCACCTGAGGTTAGGAGTTTAAGACCAGCTTCAACAACATAGAGAAACCCCATCTCAACTAAATATACACAAATTAGCTGGGTGTGGTGGCGCGCTTGTAGTCCCAGCTACTGGGGAGGCTGAGGCAGGAGAATCACTTGAATCGGGAGGCAGAGGTGGCAGTGAGCCGAGATCGTGCCATTGCACTCCAGCCTGGGCAACACAGCGAGACCCTGTCTCAAAAAAAAAAAAAAAAAAAAAAAAAAAGACAACTGGGCCCCAACCCCCAGTGTTCCTGATTCAGTGAGTCCAAGTGTGGCCTGGGAATCTGCATCTGTAACAAGTTCCCAGGGGATGTTGATGCTGCTGGACCCAGGACCACATCCTGAGAAGGACCATTCAGGTCTAATCCCCTCAGATTCCGCAGATGGGGAAGTCAAGGCCCTCTGGAGAAGGATCTGTCCAGGTTACACAGCAAGCCGGAAGCCAGGACAGTCCAGAGCCCAGGCCTGCTGACTTCTGGCCCCAGCAGGCAAGATGAAAAAGCACCCGCAGAACTCCCTGTTGAAGGGGAGAGGGAGAGGAGAACCTGGCTGGATGGGCAGGGGTGGGACTGTCTCTGAGGTGGCACCTCGTCGGTTGGAGCACGCGCAATGGGCCAAGGTGTGGAAGAATGCATCTCCCCAGCCTGGCTCCTTTCCCTGAGCCTTGGGAGAGGCAGGGCTTGTCCTGCTCACTGCGGAAAGGGTAGGGGAAACTGAGGCAGATGCCTTGCTTAGGAAAGAGGGGGCAGCTGCCCTGTGTAACACAAGATCTAGCAGCCGAGCGGACAGGGTGGGCTGAAGGCAGGACACCAGGGGGAGGCCTGGCTGGGCCTAAGCAGTCCTGTTCGAGGGGAGCAGGGACTGGGTGCCACTGCCCTGCCCCTTGAGAGGCGTCGGGGAGTAGCTGGGTGAGGAGGGACTTCAGAGGGGCTTCCATGTCATTCCAGGTCCCTTTCCTCCCTGTCACCTGACCCACCCAGAAAGTAAAGATCTGCGGGAACTGTCAGTGCTTCTCCCATGGGGGACCTAGCCCTCCAGGGAGAGCAAGGTGGCCTGGTTTGATGTGGGTGGATAGGTGCCTTCCTGCTTGAGGCATTCCCTGAGTTCACAGGGAGGACGAGGCAAGGGGGCCAGAAGGGATTGGCTCAGCATCACAGAGCCATGGATTGACAGCCAGAGGGGACCTAGGGATGACCCTGCCGCTCCACCTTCTTCCCTTGCCAGCACAGAAAACAGAGCAGAGAAGGGACTCACTCAGGGTCCTTCTGTGAGCCAGTGGCCAAGCCCAACCTGGAGCCCAAGGCTCCTGACTCCCAATCCAGTGCTCTCCCTGCCAGAGCAGGCTGCTGCTCTCCAGAGGGGAGTCCTCACCCCTGCATCTCCTGGGACCCAGTCTCTCCCTCATGCAAGCAGAGAGGGAGGGCAGGCTCCCTGGGTTGGGGAGAGAGCCACTTACGCAGGTCTCCACAGGGGCTCTGTTAGATCATCATTCCCGTCTCTGCACATCTGTCCTTGGACATTCCAGGGAATCCCTAGATATCCTTGCCCATGTAAGAAAAATATCGATTGCATTCATATGGTGTTTCCACGCAGAGGAAGCGGTACACATAGGAAGGAGAGCTAAGGCACAAAGGCCGGGGAGGGGGGCGCCAATGCTGGCGGACTTGCATGGGAGGGCAGCACATTTTTTTCTGCTAAATCCTGGGCACCAGAATCTGGGGGGAAGAGGGATGGGGATGGGAATACGGATGATTTTGGGAAGCATTTAGGTCCCATTTCCTCTTCCTTGGCTGAGCCAGCAGCAGGGACAACGAGCAGGTTGGAGGACATGATTTACAGCTCTGTGGTGCCTGTGGACTTGGCTGGTCAGGCTGTGGGGACAGGAACGGAGAGGGGCGAGGAGCCGGTCTGGCAGCCCAGCCCAGAGTCCGTGCCTGTCCTAAGGCTGTGCTCATTTCAAAGAGATGGGCAGGCCGGCTCAGACCTGTAAGCGGACAACCTTAACACTCACTCACCCTAGATGGGCCCTTTTTCAGATAGACAAGGCATCTCTGGGATAATAATAACAGTTGTAACCTTGAGGTCAGCAGAGAGCTGTCTTCTGAGATTTAAATAAACTGACCTGTGTCTCCTGACCCACACGCTGTGAGGTCCAGTACCCTCCCCAAGATGCCTCCGAGTCCCCAGGACGTGCAGCTCCATGAAGAAGCCCCTCCCTCAAATGCCACCTCCTGGGCCGCTCTTTTTTGAATGGCCCACAGTCTGCACTCTTCAGATTGAGGAAGAACATTGACTCAGAATGAACGTCACAGGCAAAAATTCTACCTGGATGGGGGCGTCTCCTGCCCTTGCATCAGGTGGGAGGAGCATGGCGTAGCCCCACGGCTGGTGATGCTGGGTTTTAGAACTTGGTTCCCTAACGTACAGGTGCCCTTTCCCCTTCGTAAATTGTCATTAATCTGTGGGGTTTTCCTCTGAGACTGTATGAAGATCCTGCTCCCCAGGAACTTCTCACTCAGTGGTTTTCGCATCTGTTGAGCTGCCTGCATCAGTATTAGTGATCTCTGAGTGATGATTTACAAATCCTGGCTCCGCCCGGACTTACTTCCTCACCAGCATTCCACTCTAAGGAGATTCCCCTCCCCACCCTTACTCTTTAAACCCATGGCTCTGAAACTGAGCTGCATATTTGAATTACCTGGCAGCTTTAAAAAGTTGTTCATGCCTGCCTCCCTGTACCCCAACCCCCCGCCCCCCGCTGCATTCTGATTTTGGGGTCTGGGTGGAGCTTGAGCATGGGTGTCTTTTTAAAGCTCACAGGTGATGCTGTTTCATCATGGGGGTGCTGAGCATCACTGCCTGAGGAGATGGGGAGCCACGGTGGGGGGCGGGGGTTGAAGCAGAGGAGAGAAGATCTCATGGAAGCTTTGGATGGTCCCTCTGGCTGCAGGAGCGTGGGCTTCTGGGGCTTCTGAGGACAGCAGGGTGGGGGTAGGGAGACAGTGGAGTGAGGAGGCTGCTTCAAGAATCCCACTGAAACATGATGAAGGGCAATCGAAGGAATCCAGTCCCCTAGCTGCTGGAGTCCCGAGGGCTGTCTTTGAGGAAGGAATCCAGTCCCCTAGCTGCTGGAGTCCCAAGGGCTGTCTTTGAGGAAGGAATCCAGTCCCCTAGCTGCTGAAGTCCCAAGGGCTGTCTTTGAGGAAGGAATCCAGTCCCCCAGCTGCTGGAGTCCCGAGGGCTGTCTTGGAGGGGCTGAAGTCAATAGAAGAGTCATAAACATTCTTTTTCATATGCATGGAGGTGTGTTTCACGCGTTTCCACATCCCTCAAAACTGACACTTAGACGGGATTGGGAGGGCAGAGAACGACTGAGAGGGTGGGCTGAGAAGCCAGGGCCCGAGCCAGTCCCGGCCACGGTGTTTGCTCTCCAGCCTGCATGTCCCTTTAGCTGAGCTGCCAGCTGGCTGTCCCTCATCTGGAGAGTGACTTAAGGCACATGAGGGGAAAATGCTCATCTTGACTTAATGATTCTCATTAGTTTGAAGATTACTCACGCTGGGGTTTATTCTGTTCTTTATTTAAAGAACATACAGGCCGGGCGCGGTGGCTCACGCCTGTAATCCCAGCACTTTGGGAGGCCAAGGCAGGCGGATCACTTGAGGTCAGGAAGTCGAGACCAGCCTGGCCAACATGGTGAAACTCTGTCTCTACTAAAATACAAAAATTAGCTGGGTGTGGTGGTGGGCGCCTGTAATCCCAGCTACTTGGGAGGCTGAGGCAGGGGAATCGCTTGAGCCTGAGAGGAAGAAGTTGCAGTGAGCCGAGATTGTACCACTGCACTCCAGCCTGGGCGACAGAGCAAAACTCCGTCTCAAAAATAAATAATTAAATAAATAAATAACATACATATGTATCTGTCAAGAACAGTAGGCAGGTGGGAACCCAGGGGACGGTGGGGTTTGGGGAGGATGTTACATGGCTCAGTGACCAGAATGGAGTGCTGGCTGCTGGGGCTGAGCCCATGCCCCCTGGGGCAGATGCCAGGGCAGCCGCCCCAGCCGGAGCCTCTCAGGCCCTTCTGGGGATGACGGGACCTGGCTTGGCACCTCTCCTCCAGAGAATGGGGGCGGGGGGCTTTACTTGGAGCCCCTGAAGGGTTCCCCACTAACAGGTTTCTTAAAGGGCTGTGGCTCCAGTCACCAGAAGGCTGGCCCAGCAGCTGTTTCATGGACCTTTGCCCTAAACTCAGGAAAACCCTTAGGCCAAGGCCTGGCCGGGAGCTGCCCACTCCTCCAGCCTTCGAGACCTGCTGTTCACAAGCCACCCTCTCAGGAACTGCCACCCAAGGCCCAGAGCACGTGACCACAGGCACTTGGCACCTGCAGAGTCCTCTAGCCCAGCTTCTCACAGCCACAGCTAACCTCATTCCATCAGGAACTCCTTTGATGTCTGTCTCTCATACCCCCAGGAACCTGGGGAGCCTGGGCATGGGCTGTGCCTGGAGATTATGCCCTGGGAAGCACCAAAGTCATGAGTCAGCGACCACACGTGACTCCAGGGAGGGGGCCGTGAGAGGTGCAGGCCGGGTGACACAGGTGTTGGAGGGGACAGGGCGGGGATGCAGGGGGAGGGTTGTCATCCTTGAGAGAAGTAGCATTTGAATGGGGTCTTGAAAGACAGTAAGGACTTCTGGGGGCAGGGGAGAGTGCTTCGGTAGCCAAGAACAGCTCTGCCTCTCCAGAGAAGCCAGGTTCCTGAGGGAGCCCCTGTCACCAGGAGGAGCGGAAGAGGGGTCAGAACTCCAGGTTCCACTTGTGTGTGGAAACGGGCAAGGGCAGACAACACCCCTTCTCACCGTTTGGTTGTTTCTTTGTCATAACAATGAGAAAGGGCATTGTCTGTGTGGCCTTGGGCAAGTCCCCTCCCCTCTGAGGCCTCAGTGTCCTCACTTTCTGCAAGGTCCTTCTGGCTCTAGCAGTCCGTGATCCTGAGATACTCCTGGGGCATGGACTCTCCAATAGCTGGCTTGGGCTCAGCTTGTCACCACCCTCTCCTCCCCACTGTGGCTCCCGTTCTGGGCACAGTGAAAGGCAGCATGAGGGGTTTGCAGACTGGCAAGCACACGATCAACTGTCAACCTAGGAGCTGCAGGCAGTGGGAGGAGGGACATCGGGCTCTAGCTTTGGCACCGCGTGACCTTGGGCAAGTCACTTCCCCTCTCTGGGTTTCAGGCTCCTCTTCCGTCGAAAGGGGCAATGTCTGCCTCGGTCCTTGAAGAACTGTTGTGTGGCGTGAACTTGGTGGCCTTTGAAACCAGTGCAGAGCCGCTGGGTGAATGTGGGGGTGAGGACAGCTAATTCTTTCCTGAGTTAGACTCGGCAGGTCACTGTCTCCCCACGGGGCATTGTACATCTGGGGCAGTGGCTTTTTCTCATAGCTAGGAGGCAAGAATTCATTGTAATTCTCCTTCTTCGGTTCCCCATCCCCCATCCCCCATCCCCCATCAAAAAAATGGCGTTGCCTGCCATCCAACCCCAGAGAAATGCTGTGAGATTCAATGAAGTGACATTTGCAAAACAGCCTGGCTATGAAACCAGCTCTTCTCTTGGCCTCCCTGAAGCTCTTCATGTCTCCCCTACCACTGAGTGGGGCTGGTGGAATCCTCTGGACCTCTGAGCCCCCAGCTTCAGAGGCTCTTCCTGGCTGCAGGGTCCCTTCCACACTTAACCTCCTGTGGCCACAGCTCTGGGTTCTCAGCAGTTTGTTGCAGTCTCTGAGGCCTCCAGAGCACTCCCTCCCACACTGCTCAGTCTCTGAGGCCTCCAGATCAATCCCTCCTACACTGCCAAGCCCTGGCTACCTGCAGGCCAAGGGTTCAGCTGAAAGGACAGCTTTTTTCTTTCCTTGCAGTTTTTCTCTTTTTAAGAGAATATCAAACCAAGAAATGCAGCTTAGAAGAAATCAATCCTTGCTGCAGTTACAGCAAATCAATTCAGCACAAATTTACATAGCACCTGCTGTGGGTGGGGCCCGCAGCCCTGAGGAATCAAAGCTGAATCAGGCCCCATTGAGCCTAAGATGAGCCCGCCCAGCTCACAGGGCAGGAAGGGAGATGGAACCGGGCATTCATCGTTTAGATTCAAGCTGAAGAGTGTTCCAGACCAGAAAACCAGTCACCACTCGCGCTACCATGTCGTTACTTGGCAATGTGTACCTAGCTTTTTATTATATTATAATTTGGGGGGACAGGGTCTCGCTCTGTCTCCCAGGCAGTGGCACAATTGGTTCACTGCAGCCCCAACCTCCTGGGCTCAAGCAATCCTCCCATCTCAGCCTCCTGTGTAGCTGGGACTACAGATACATGCCACCACACCTGGCTAATTCTGTTTATTTTTTTTGTAGAGATGAAGTCTCACTGTGTTGCCCAGGCTGGTCTCAAACTCCTGGGCTCAAGCCATCCTCTTGCCTTGACCTCCCAAAGTGCTGGGATTATGGGCGTGAGCCACCATGCCCAGCCCCTACCTTTATTATATGCTGACAATAATACCTACTTTGGACTGTTCTGAAAATGAATAAAATACTGCATGTGAAAGAACTCTGCAAGCAGAAGCACTCCAACTGTGCTTTGCTGCACCCAGTGACCAATGCTCTGATGGCCGTGGAGGTGTGGGAAAGGTTGTGTTGACCTGGAGAGCTCTGGGCATGTTTCTTGGAGGAGATTGGATTTGTTCCTTTAAAAATGGTGTGTTCTGCTCTGATCTTTGAAAACTGGCAAGCCACATGTAGAAAAATGAAACTGGATCCTCATCTCTCACTTTATATAAAAATCAACTCAAGATGGATTAAAGACTTAAATCTAAGCCTGAAACCATAAAAATTCTAAAAACCTCTAATAACCTTGGATAAACTCTTCTAGACATTGGCTTAGGCGAATAATTCATGATTAAGAACCCAAAAGCAAATGCAACAACAACAAAAGTAAATAAATAAATGGGATCTAATTAAACTAAAAAGCTTCTGCACAGCAAGATAAATAATCAGCACAGTAAACAGACAACCCCAGAGGAGGAGAAAATGCTTGCAAACTATGCATCCGACAAAGGTAATATCCAGGATCTACAAGGAACTCAAACAAATCGGCGAGAAAAAAACAAACAAACAATCCCATGCAAAAGGGGACAAAGGACATGAATAGACGATTCTCAAAAGAAGATATACAAACAGCCTCCATCATATGAAAAAATGCTCAACATCACTAATCATCATCAGGGAAATGCAAATTTCAACCACTTTGAGATATCACCTTACTCCTGCAAGAATGGCCATAATTAAAAATCAAAAAACAACAGATGTTGGCATGGATGCGGTGAAAAGGGAGCACTTTCACACAGCTGGTGGGAAAGTAAACTAGTACAACCACTATGGAAAACAGATGGAGATTACTTAAAGAACTAAAAGTAGAACGATCATTAAATCCAGCAATCCCACTACTGGGTATCTATCCAGAGGAAAAGAAGTCATTATATGAAAAAGACACATGCACACACATTTGGAGCAGCACAATTCACAACTGCAAAGATATGGAACCAACCTAAGTGCCCATCAACCAATGAGTGGATAAGGTATTTATACACCATGGAATACTACACAGCCATAAAAAGGAATGAAATAATGGCATTCACAGCAGCCTGGATGGAGTTGAAGACCATTATTCTAAGTGAAGTGATTCAGGAAAACCAAACATCATATGTTCTCACTTATAAGCGGGAGCTAAGCAGTGAGGATGCAAAGGCATAAGAATGATAAAATCGACTCTGGGGCTGGGGTAGGGGAAGGTTGAGAGGGGATGAGGGATAAAAGACTATATATTGGGTACAGTGTACACTGCTTGGGTGATGGGTGCACCAGAATCTCAGAAATCACCACTAAAGAACTTACCCATGTAACCCAAAACCACCTTTACCCCCCCAAACTATTGAAATACAAATAAAAATTATTTAAAAAACTAACAAAAGTTTACTTCAAACAACAAAAAAAAGGTGTGTTATTTCATATTGACTTTGTCCCAAATAACAAACAACTTAAACTATAAAGCTATTTTTTTTCCATAAAACTTTCAAAATGTCGGTGGGCTAGGCCAGTGTGGCAGCTCCGTGGGGTCAGGGACACACAGTATGCTTCTGTCTTGTTTCTTCTCTAAACTTGGCTTAATTCCCAAGATTACTTCATGATCAAAAATGGCTGTTTCAGTTCCAGCCATTACGCCTGTATTCCAGCCACCAGGAAGGAAGGAAAGGGTATGACCACTTCCTGTAAGAAAAGTCCCTAATGTTGCATTTACCTGTTGACTAGATCCTAGACATGTGGCCATATCTGCTGCAAGAGATGCTGGGAAATGCAGTCTTTATTCTGAGTATCTATGTGCTCGGCTTAATATCCTATGGAAGAGCGGGGAACAAAGATCAGGACTAACAAGCAGTGGCTGCCACAGCCGAGTGGGCCTCTGGTTCCCCGCAAACTGTGTCTCCAAATTTTATTCCTTTTTGCTTTAAGGAGACTTCCCCTGCCCCCGCCATCTGGTATTCAAAGAGTGGACCTGCAGGGGGGTGGGCTGGCTGGGTCTGATTTCTGACTGTCCTGGGAAAACATCAAGCTGGACCTCCAGCTGCTCCAGAGCGAGCTCTGCCAGGAGGGAAGGGGTTGTGGTTGGGGGCTGTGCACTGGGGTCTGCACAACCTCAGCGAGAATCAATTCATCTGAAGGTTTCCCCCAGCATGGAAGAGAGTCCCAGGTGTGAAGGCAGAGGATGGGGACGAGGTGCTAGGGAGGACTGTGGGTAACCCCTGCCCCTTGCTAAGCCCACCGCCCAGGGGTCTCCTGGCTCAGCCGCTTTCTAGGTTTTGTTTTCTCCTGGGATTCACATGCCTCCTCCCGTCAGATGCCGACAGGAAGGAGATCTCAGTTCTTACCTCCTGCCCGTGTTTCTCATCTTGCTGAATAGCGTCACTGCTCCTCAGCCTGCAGGACACGGAGGGCGGTGGCACCTCTTGCTTTAGACTTTCCCGGAGGGTGGGACAGCACCGGGCTCAGGAGCCCAGAAAGCAACCAGCCCGAACAGCGGCGCCGACCCCTTTCTCCCCTCGGTGGGCCCCCCTTTCCGACTCCCCCCGCGTTCTTGGTTCCTTCTCCAGGGTGGCTGCCAGATGATACTCGGGCTCCAGACATTCTTGGGGTGACTGAACAGACCTTCAGTGGGTGCTCGTAAGGCCTCGGCGCCACATCTCAGCACAGGCATCCGCCCTGCCCGCCCTTACTCTGGGGACCCCCCTGTTGCATCTCTCCCCCTCACCACCTCTCTGACCTTGGGCGGCTCAGGACCCCTCGCTTGGCCTCAGTTTCCTGTTCCCTGAAAACAGGGTCGATAATCCTGCACGGGCAGCCCTGCGCCCCCGAGAACCAGATGTGGAGCTGGATTCGAGGGGCTCTGCAGACAGTGCTGCGTCCCAGCTGAGGCCACGTGTTTGCTCGACCTCCTCCTTCAGGCTGTGCCCCACCCACCACGCTCCCCCCCGATTGCATCGATGCTACGACCACGTCTTCAGGGCAGGGCTGGTGCCAGTGGGTGAGGAGGCCTCTGTCAGGCCAGGATCAGCCGGCCCCAGTCCTTCTCCGAATGCCCCCATCCCTGCTGCTGAAGGGGCCTCTGTGCCCGGGTGAGGAGCCAGAAGCCCTGGCAGAATGAGGAGGCCGGCAGGAGGTGACACCGGACGAGGACAGGCAGAGTCCACCAACTTCATTTCCCCAGGCCGTTTACGGAAGGGCTGCGCTTTGCAGCGCTGGGGCGCCGTGGGGTGGGGATGCTGCCATTTGGGCCCCAGTTTCTGGCGGGGGCGGTGGGGAAAGCACGGGAAGCAGAGTCAGCCTGGGAAGCTCCCCGACGCCTCCTGGCTGTGAAAGAAGGTCCCGCGTGGCTCTGGGTCCTCAGGTGCAGGGCTCCGGCAGGGACAGGAGGTGTCAGGGCTGGGCCCTGGGGAAGGAGGGAGCTGCTGTGCGGGGTGTGGTGGAGGGCGAGTTGCCCTCCCTCTCTGGGCCCTCAGCTCCGTGGATGGAGGAGGGCCCAGGTTAGGCCGCCTCCGTGCTTCCTCCTGGATTGGAGTCCAGTTTGTGTGGGGGCGCCTGGGAAGAGCCAGTAGAACCTTTGCGCCTCCACGCTCTCCACCTGCAAGGGATTCAAGGTGCTGTTCTTCACCCCCACAGACGTATATGATTTAAACTTAATCTTCATCATCATGAAGCAAAACAGGTGATTTCATAGCCCTTTGCAGGTGAGGCCCTGGCTGCAGGAAGCTCCTTAGGCCAAGGGCAGCGTTTGGCAGGCACTTTCTCTTCAGAGCCTCGGCCTCCAGAGTGGCCTGGAGAGGTTGGGACTCCATCCCCTCTGGATCTAATCACCTGGGATTTTTCTGATCCGGGCCAGGATTTGGGCTGGCTTCTCTGAGGCCCCGGCCAGGAGGCAGTGTGAGGAGCTGCTGGAGACCCACTCCCCAGTCCTCAGCGCTGGGGAAGGAGACTCTGTGCCTCAGTTCACCTTTCCCACGGAGCCAGGCCTGCATCCCTCCATGCAGAGCAGAGGGGCCGGAGCCACGCCTGCATCCCTCCACGCACAGTGGAGGGGCCTGGGCAGGAGCTGGGGGGCTTCGCCTGCTGCCTCCCTTAGGTGTTCCTACCTTGCCGTGGCTCATGCCTGCCCTTCCTCCCCGGTTCCCCTTCCAAAGCCTGGGGAAAGGGAAATTGCTCACACCTATCCTCGGCCTGGGACGCCCTCCCCTCCCTGCCTTTCAAAGTCCAGCCCATCCTCCCAAGTTTCTCTTCAGTTCCCTGCTTCCACCCCACTTGGATGTGGCCTCCCCACCTTGAAATCCCCTCTCCAGGCATTATCTACCTCTCCTAATAGGACCATTTTTGGTCTCAGGTGTAGGTATTTGGAACCTGTCCTGAATTCTGCCCTAAACTGAGACCTTTGAGGTATACGAGGCATCTCTCTGGTTTCCCTAAATAAGGACCTGGCCCCGAGCAGGCACTCAGTGGCTGTGTGCTGAAGGAACACTGGTGGACACAGGGTCCCCACTTCCCAGCGTCCACCGAATGAGCAGTTCAGATCTAGAGTGTGTGCTCGTGGCAACATGGTGGTAGGTCCAGAGCTTTCAGGACTTCAAGGTACAGGGATGGGTCATAGACTTCGTGGGTCAGCTGGCCACGCTCAGTGCTCTTGGGATGTTGTTTGCACGGGACGCACTTTGACTTGCAAACAGCCTAGTGTTAAATGAGCTCCTGGGAACAAACTGTCTTGGGTGAACTTGGGGACTAGTTGGATCTCCAAGCCCCACGTCCAGGTGCCCGTCTGAAGACAGGCCAAGGTGGGAAGCACAGGAACACTCCTGAAGTGGGAAGCCGCGGGTGTGAAACGGAAAGGCATCCAGCCCCTGGTCCTTGTCCTTTTAAATTAGAAAGGCCTGAAGCCGTCTCCCTGCTCCACCCCGCCCTAGCCTGCCCCAGAAGGGCAGAGGACACTAGAAATTCCACTGTGGCTTGGACTGCAGCTGTCTATTTCACTGTGTGTCCTAAACACTCTTCTCTGAACCTTGAAGGTCAATATCACAACACTCCCTGGATCTGAAATAAAATAATCAATTGTTAGATCCACCTAGCCAAGGCCCACCTCCGAGTATGCAGTGAGGCGGCTCTCCCTTCCTCTTTCAAGCCAGAATCAATCTCTGCATAATTAACCCAGTCTGACTCAGTGTTTACTCTGCAGGTGTGACTGCCCAAGGCCTGTGGCCTGCGACCTCCTGGCTCGCTGACCGCTGTCTGTCTGCTACTTCTACCCAGATATATTTTTCCAGCTCTGCTGTTGCTAAAATGCACCGGTTAAACACTTAGCTTTAGGAGGAAAATTCTAGCAAGGACTGTTTTGATATGCTCCCAGCCCCTGCTGTCAGGAAACTCAGGATTGAAAGAGACCTGTCTCAGGAACTTTCTCTAGGACTCAAATTCTAGATTTTGCTCAGCCATTCTTTTTTAGCACCTTAACTTTTATTGATAATACTTTTGATGCCTAAGAATATATATTTGATGTTTTGGCATTGGATCATCGTCTGCTCTACATACAGAATTGTGTAGGTAAGCGAACAGCTTGATGCATCTGCACAGACGGAATGCACTTGCTTAACCACTTGGTCATTTTTAAAGTCCTGATTTATCAAAATAAGATTTTGTCAGGAGGGAAAGCCCTACCTGTGGGTACAGATCAGAGCCCGTGTTAGACACAAGTCCTCACGCAAACTGGAAGGTAGGTTTAACTGTCTCCTGTGTACAGAAGAGGAAACGCAAGTTTAGACAGGTGGGGCCGCCTGGCTCGTAAGTCCGGGGGGCTGAGACTCAGCCCATTCCTTTGCCTGCAGGTGTGCTTGGAGGTCCTCGTTCTGTCCAGCTAGGGATCTGGGCATGTGTCTTCTTGGGGTCAGGCAGCACACACTGCCCACTTCTTTGCTGGGAACATTCTCAGTCCATTGGGAAAGCAGGGCCTACATATATCTATTCTCAGGTGACAGGTGGCACCTACCAGTCATCTGCTCTCCCTCCCCATCACCTGCATTGGGCTGGTCTACCACTCAACATTTAACGACAGTATGGCAAGGGCGCTGGCCAATCAGAATGGCACCAGGCATATACAGTCCTGGAGCAGAGGCCTACAGCCCTGCTACATCAGTCACCACCCTTCAGTGGCTGGATGGTGGAGAGGAAACCTTCGGATAGATGTTGGGCTTGGTGGCGGGGGAGGGGAGAGAGGCTCTCTCAGGCTCAGCAACTGCACAGAAGTACTTCAATATTTCAACAACTAGCCTGGGCACCCTGGTGCTTCCTGAGCCACCGTCAGCTCTGATTGGAGATTCTATGTAGAACAGATCTGTTCCTCGCTCCCCAAAGAGCTTGGAGCCCAGCTAAGGAGACAGGCTACAGGATGGCGATCAGAGAGAATCGCACTTGGGTGTCACCTGGTCATTTGTTTGTCTGTCCAAACATCAGGTACCGCAGGCAGCCACCTGTCAGCTACCTAGATGATGAGTAGCAGAGGGCCTCTGTCATTGGGAGTGCACTGTTTACAAGAAGAAAGAGGCATTTGAACAAGTAACCACAGCGTTGTCTTTTGTTTGGGTTGATATGCTGGACTGGAGATCCCTTTAGAGCATGTTTTTGGGGATTACAGAGCCTTCGAGCGTTACAAAATCATCTTCTCTAATTCCCTGTGTTTCAGATGAGGAGACCCAAGTTCCCAGAAGAGCAGTTGCACACTCGAGGCTGGAGGACATGGGCAGAACCAGAGCTCCTTGCCTCCCTCCCAGCCCCCCACCCAAGTAACACGTTCCTGATCCTGTCCTGGAAGCAGCTTCGAGGAAATGCCCAGACCCCTGGGGGGTGATGTGGTGGCAAGGTGACAAAGGGGCAGGTCACAACGCTGTCACAAGCTGATATGCAAGAACTCACAGGCATGACCCCCAGGGGCTATGGGTGTAAGGGCATCTGCTCTGCCCTTTCCAGCGGGCCTAGTTTTGGTGGCCTCTGTTCCATTTATTTGCTTAGGAACACAAAGCTGAATGCACTGTTTGCAGGAAGTTGTATGTCTAAGTCACCTAAGTTAGTAAAATAAATAAAAACTTTGGAGTTTTGGAATGGCCTTCAGGTGCCTTCCACATCCATTTCCCTGGAAATCCCTGTTTCCTGTCGGTGTCTGATAAGGGATTTTTCAGGAATTGAGCGGAGCTTTTCCAGGAGATGTCACATAAGAAACCTCACCCTGGGTTCCCAAGGCCCAGTTACATTGTAGCTAAATCACAGATTTACCAAAGTATACAGGGTCCTCTTTCTTTACCTCCACCTGGACACTTTTTTGAAGGAAAATGGATTTTGGATGTAAGCGCCTCCGCGATTGTTCTATGCTCCCGGGGTCACAAGACTCCTTGAAAGCAGAGGTTCAGCAACCTCTAGCCAGGTTCCCCACACAGCTGGGGGGCTCTTCCCACCCTAAGGGGTGATCCATTTGCCAGGGAGACTTGGGACTGACTCAGCCCCTGCCCTGGCTGCCGAGGGACCCTGCCTTTTTCTGCCGAGCTTGTGCTTACGGGGAAATTCCAGGCTTCTCCGGAAACCATCTTAACTGCCTGGAATCCTCCTCTTGGACTTGTCTGGGCTGGCGCAGTCCTGGGAGGAAAGGAAAGTAAATAAATGTAAATCTGTTTGATCACAGACAGAGCATTTATCTTTCAATAGGAAGCTTCCTGAGGAAGGACAGCAAAGGGGTTTGGAATGAGTAAGCTCAAAGTATCAGCCTGCGTACAAGATGCCCTCGGGGGGAGCCTGGCTATTGTGGCGCTGCGGTCACACTGGGCCAGGCCCCTGCTGAGGCCCAGCACTGCACAGGCACCCGGAGCCCTGCCCTTCTCCCTCAGGGCACCCCAGGGCAGTACCGCCCTCTGGCCCAGCTGATGGGCCGGGCCAGGCTCCCCTGGCTTCCCAAGTGGAGGAGGAGGAAATGGTCTTTGCCAGCAGGCCAGCCACCCTCGAGGAGAAGTGGGGTCTTCTTTGGGGCTGTGGAGGCAGTGCTAGGAGTGGACGGAAGGGCTCAGAGGCCAAGCTCAGATGTTCCCTATGGCTGAGGTCCCTGACAAGGATCCTCAAACAGGGAGAATGCTGGTACCCTTCCAGTTTGGGCCTGGGTGTCACTTACCTGGGACACTTGTCACATCCCCTTTAAATCTCTGTCCTTGCCTGGCTCTGGCCAGAAACATTCCAGGGCTTGTTGATTCTGAAGAGCAGTAGGGTTTCCAGGGTTCTCTCCTGAAGCTCGGGGATATCCAGTGGCTTCAGGGTAAAAGCCTGTTTGCTAACCTGCTGCACAGCTGGTAAAAAGCCATGGGTCTCTCCCTTAAACCCAACCCAGCAGATGAGGTCTACTCTGGAGGCCCGAAAACACCTTAAACTCATCGCACAGAAAACCGGCGCAATACTTGGCCCCTCTTCCTTTTTCCCGACCTACAGTACCCCATCCTTCAACCCAGAGTACCCCATCCTTCGACCCACAGTATCCCATCTTTCCTTCTGCTGGATGTTGGAGGACTCAAAGTTATTCTAAATCTCTACAATACTCTTAACATTTTAAATCCAAATCCAGGCAATAATTCAATGTTCCAGCGATGTCCTTTGTGACCCATTCATTTCAGTTGATTTGGTTCTATTGATCCTTTTTTTTTTTGAGACAGAGTTTCGCTCTTGTTACCCAGGCTGGAGTACAATGGTGCGATCTCAGCTCACCACAGCCTCTGCCCCCGGCGTGAAGCGATACTCCTGCCTCACCTTCCCAAGTAGCTGGGATTACAGGCACGTGCCACCACGCCCAGCTAATTTTGTATTTTTAGTAGAGACGGGGTTTCTCCGTGTTGGTCAGGCTGGTCTCGAACTCCTGACCTCCTGTGATCTGCCCACCTCGGCCTCCCAAAGTGCTGGGATTACAGGCATGAGCCACCGCGCCCGGCCGATCCCTTTTTTTCATTTGTTCATTCATTCATTCATTCATTCATTCATTCATTCCAGACACATTACAGCCACAGAGGTGAGGAGGATTCAGGTCCTGCCCGCAGAGACAGTTGCACATACAGCCAGCCACACAAGGGGCAAGAAGTAGTCTGTGCTGGGCCACAGGGGCAGCTCTCAGGAGGCTCTGTATTGACTTCACGCCCACGCTGTGCTACATTCATCACAAATCTGACAGTATGCAACAAAAAGCAGGCCACAAAATAATGGATGGTATTAACAGCAGAGTCAAGATGTGGGAAAATGGAATAAAATGAGCTCTCCAGGTACCATCTATTTTTTAGAAAATGGAATCCATTCATTCAGGAAGCTTGATGGATAAATGAAGTAGGCCAGACAGGGAGAATACAAATAGCAGCAGCTCCTGTGGGAAGCCTGCCAGCCCCTCGCTGAGTGCATGATCTACACCATCACATCATCCACTGAACAGCCTGTGAAGTTGGTACTCTGATGATTCCCATTTTACAGATGGAGAAACCATGACACAGGAATGATGTGGCTGGCTTACAGTCACAGAGCTAGAGCCAGAACTCAAACCCGGGTCTGTCTCACTCCGAAGTTTCTGCTAATGACAGCATGGAAAAGATTCCTCATTTCCACCAGCTTCCTTTTAATCAAGGCAGATTAGACATTCATGCATTGGCTAATCTAGGCTTTGAGTGTAGTGACGTTTATGTAGTGCCTACAAAGCAAGATTAGCCATTACACGTTTTGTCGTTCTGGAAACTGACTCTTGGCAATTCCCAGCCAGGCTTTATCTCAACATACTTCCTGAAATCTCAGGCCATGTGTATTTTGCCTACAGAGTGGCTCTGAAAATAAAGTAGGCTGGAAGTCAGGTGACTGATGTCATCCTGGACTCGTAGGCGATTAACAGTATGACCTTGGAGAAGTCACCTTCCTCTGGTTTCAGTTTCCCATTTGAAAATGCAAGAATTGCAGCCATTCTACCACTAGGACTAGAAGAGACGTACCTGGGCATTAAGAGGCATGCTCAGTGGGAACAGAGGTGGGTGGATTGCCTGAGGTTAGGAGTTCGAGACCAGCCTGGCCATCATGGTGAAACCCCGTCTCTAGTAAAAATACAAAAATTAGCTGGGCATGGTGGCGTGCACCTGTAATCCCAGCTACTCAGGAGGCTGAGGCAGGAGAATCGCTTGAACCTGGAAGGTGGAGGTTGCAGTGAGCCGAGATCGCACCACTGCACTCCAGCCTGGGTGATAGAGCAAGACTCCATCTCAAAAACAAAACAAACAAACAAAACAAAACAAAAAAACTCACAGAAGCATGCCCAAGGATGCTCATGGCAGTGCCGCCTGTGAGCATGAGAAACGGGAGGCCACCTGTGAGAATGGAGAATAACCCTGGTGACCATATGTGGCAGCAGGTCTCCAAGTCAATCCCTGTGATCTCCACCTCCTGGCATCCCCCCAGTGTAGTCCTCTTCCACACTGAACCAGGGAAGATCTGCTTGACCAACAGCATATGGCAGAATTGTTACCAGTGGAAGGTTGGAAGGTATCTGAGTTACCAGCGGTGAATCCGTGTGGGTCTGCAGCAACCTCAATTCTTGCCTCCTCAGAAGAAAGAATTTGACTGACGGGCCTAAGGCTGAAAAAGAGAGGAAGGCAAGAGGAGGAGTGGAAGGTTTTTATAAAGCCTTTAGACCAGGAAAGAAAGTACACTGGGAAAAGACCCCAAGCGGGCGACGTCAGAACAAGTGCAGCGTTTAACCTTGATCCGAGGACTTTCTGGGCTGGCCCCTTTCTCGTGATTCTCACCTTAGGGTGAGCTGCCTGCATGTGCAGTGCCCTCCTTACCCTTACACAGTGTGTATAGGAAGTTGTACACATACCCACCTGAGGCTTTCTTCCCTTTTCTTGTGGGGTGCTCCCAGAGGGTCATACTCTGCCATTTTGTCTCTTAATGCACCATGCCTGGGAAGTTGTGTCTCCCTGGCACCTGCATTCAATGAACACTTTAGTGCAGCAGGTGTGGTCCATGAGGAAATGGCCTCTCCCTGGCACTGGCTGCCAATTTATCACTTTTAGAGAGGCAGTGTGATCATTGCCAAACCATCACCCAACATTCCCCCAGAGCCCTCTCCTGCCCTGCTCATGCCTGTCTCACTACCTGTAACAGAAGGAATGGCATGGCACTCCCGGGCTTAGTAAAACCTAAGCCGCTTCCATCTTGGGTTTTCTCTCTCCTTGCTCTTGAATCCCTTGCCCTGGGGAAGCTGCCTAGTTGTGAGCAGCCCTGTAGAGAGGCCCACGTGGAAAGGAATTGAGTCCTTTAGCCAACAGCCATGGGCGTTAGCCATCTTATCTGTGGATCCTTTAACCCCAATCAAGCTTTCAGATGACCACAGCCCTGCCAGCTCAGCTGCAACCCCACGACAGGCCCTGATCCAGAACCACCATGAGGGGCTGTTTCAGGGCTCCTGATCTCAGAATCTGTGTGAAATAATAAATTGTTTTTGTTTTAAAGCTGCTAAATTTGGGGGGTAATTTGTTATCCAGCAATGGATAACAAATACACCCCATACTATAGGATATTATGGAGCAAAGAGTGGAACAGGTCTATGTGTACTGATACAGAAAGATTTCTGAGATATGTGTTAAGACACCCTTAGAATGTGTTGTTAGAAAATAATAATTACAAAAAAAGATATACGGCTATATATCTTTTATGTAAAATACCACAACTCACTATACTTTTATGCATTTACATATGCAAGTAGATATGTAGCAAATTACCCATCATGTAGCAATGATGAACATCAATTTACCCTCAGTAAGAGAGTCAGAGGAAGGTGCAAAGTGGAATTTTCATTTTCTATTCAATAGATTGCTCTCTCTCTCTCTCTCTCTCTCTATATATATATATAATATATATATAATTTTACCATGATAATGTGTCAATGTATTACTTATACTCAATTTAAAAATTCTTTAAACGAAGGCATTTGAGTACTTGATCACTGAGGTCTCTTTCAACTCTGGTGTTTTATAGTTCTATTAAAATGTCATTGGAATGTAAATTAAAAGAATGGGATAACATTTATCACCTCTTTGTTGGAAAACATTAAAAGTTTGATAAACCAATGTTGGCAAAGATGTGCTGGGATTTAAGGGGAGGGCAGGGCTGGCCTTTGAATCCAGTTATATTGACTCCCAAATCTAGGGCCCTTCCTGTTATTTTACCTTTGTGCCTATAGTTTACATGCAGGTGTCTGTGTTAGAGGAGCTTGTCTCTGGTGGATATATATATGTATATATATATATTTTTTTTTTGAGACAGGGTCTCTCTCTGTCGCCCAGGCTGGAGTGCAGTGGCACGATCTCAGCTCACTGCAATCTCTGCCTCCCGAGTTCAAGTGATTCTCCCGCCTCAGCCTCCTGAATAGCTGGGGTTACAGGTGTGCGCCACCATAGCCTGGCTAATTTTTGTATTTTTGTATTTTTAGTAGAGATGGGGTTTCACCATGTTGGCCAGGCTGGTCTCAAACTTCTGGCCTCAAGTGATCCGCCCGCCTCGGCCTCCCAGTGTCCTGGGATTACAGGCATGAGCCACCGCTCCTGGCCTGGGTGGACATTTAAACTGTGGCTCCTTGGAGCTCCCTCTGTTTTTGCTGAGGACAATTTCTCATTTCCCATTACTTATAAGAGACAGGCTCTGTGAGAGCCTCCAATTTGCCAGCTGCTTCCACTTCACAGAACAAAATCATCCTGTTGAACTCATCAGTCTGAAACTACTTCCACCTCTGAGCTCCGGGGCCTGGTCCAGCCCAACTAACTTGACTGCCGAGGGCTTTGCTCCGTCTTGGGATGGCTGGGGCCTCCCTCACCTGACCTGGGTGTTCAGCTGTGATGATTGAGCTTCGCTGTCATGAAACTTCCCCAGAGTTGGTGCCACGCCTCCCCCTCCCTCCAGCTTGCCA
This sequence comes from Homo sapiens, assembly GCF_000001405.40. Classification (NCBI taxonomy): domain Eukaryota; kingdom Metazoa; phylum Chordata; class Mammalia; order Primates; family Hominidae; genus Homo; species Homo sapiens. The sequence continues at coordinate 195,025,843 of NC_000003.12, read as the reverse complement.
CACCACTCGGGCTGAAGGATCTGCCTGCCCAACCCCGAACATTTCATCTTGGGTTGGTCTGCATAAAGACGGCCTGGGGAAAAAGTGATAGCATCACAAATTATACACAGTAAAATGCCTCTGCATTATCTCGCTTGGAGAAAGAAATAACTGATACTGGCCTAAGGCTTTGAACAGGAGTTTTATGGGGAGCTAAGAAGAGGGGTTCTCTGGCTTTGCAGGAGAATCACCTGTGCTCCCCTCTCCATTCTGACGGAATGGTCTGGGGGCTTGGGCATGGGTATTGTCTGAAAGTGCCTCAGATGGCTTTAATAAACAGCCAGGGTTTGAGAACATCTGTATTGGAGGGAAATGTGAAAAGGACATTGAGGTCAAATGGATGGGATTAATTATGTTTGCTAAATCAGGAAACTCTCTAGAGAGGGAAGTGACACGCCCACCGTTTTGCCTACTGTTGGAAAATTAAAGTTTCATCTTAACAAGGGCCATCTACACTGGGCTGGGTGTGAAGGCAAACTGGGATGTCAGGGCTGTAACGAGAAGCAGAAGAGAGGGGCCCAAGTCCCAACCCGTAGCTCCTGGGAGAGAAGTTGTGGGAGCCCAACATGGTGAAACCCTGTCTCTACCAAGAAACAAAAATTAGCCGGGCATGGTGGCGGGCGCCAGTAATCCCAGCTACTCAGGAGGCTGAGGCAGGAGAATTGCTTCAACCCGAGAGGCGAAGGTTGCAGGGAGGCGGAGGTTGTGGTGAGCCGAAGTTGTGCCACTGCACTCCAGCCTGGGCAACAAGAGTGAAACTCCATCTCAAAAAAAAAAAAAAAAAAAAGATAAAAGTGGTGAGGGTGTGGAGAAAAGGGAACCCTTGCTCACTGTTGGTGGGAATGTAAATTAGTACAGCCATTATGGGAAACAGCATGTATATTCCAAAGAACATGGAAAACAAGGCCGGGTGCAGTGGCTCACGCCTGTAATCCCAGCACTTTGGGAGGCCAAGGCGGGCGGATCACAAGGTTAGGAGATCGAGACCATCCTGGCTAACACAGTGAAACCCCGTCTCTACTAAAAATACAAAAAAAAAAAAAAAAAAATTAGCCAGGTGTGGTGGTGGGCGCCTGTAGTCCCAGCTACTCGGGAGGCTGAGGCAGGAGAATGGCGTGAACCTGGGAGGCGGAGCTTGCAGTGAGCCGAGATCACACCACTGCACTCCAGCCTGGGCGACAGAGTGAGACTCTGTCTCAAAAAAAAGGAAAACAAAACTACCATATGATCCAGCAATCCCATTACTGGGTATATATCCAAAGGCTATGAAATCAGTATGTGGAAGAGATACCTGCACTCCCCTGTCTGTTGCAGCACTATTCACAATAGCCAAGATATGAAACAACCAAGTGTCCATCAACAGATGAATGGAGAAAGAACATGTGGTACATGTACACAATTGAATACTATTCGGCTTTAAAAAGAAGGAGATTCTGCCATTTGTAACAACGTGGATGAACCTGGAGGACGCTATGTTAAGTGAACTAAGCCAGGCACAGAAAAACAAATGCTGCACAGTTTCACATGTGCAATCTGAAAAAGTGAAACTAATGGAAACAGAGTAAAATGGTGGCTACAGAGACTGAGTGTGCGTGCGCTTGTGTGCGTGTGTGTGCACGTGCGTGTGTGTGTGCGTGCTTGTGTGTGTGCCCACGTGTGTGTGCGTGTGTGTGTGTGTAGATGGGGGAGTTGGGGAGATGCTGGTCAAAGAACACAACATTTCAGTTAGGAGGAATAAGCTCAAGAAGTCTATTGAACATCATGGTGATTGTAGTTAATAACAATACGTTGTATACTTGAAAATGACTAAGAGACTAGATTTTAAGTGTCCTCGCCATATAAAACGATAATATGTGAGGGAATGTATATCTTAACTTGATTTAGGCATTCTACAGTGTACACAGATATCAAAACATCATGCTGTACTCCATCAGTATATGAAATTCTTGCTTGTCAGTTAAAATAATAAAGTAAAAAAACATAAAAACCCTGCTGCAATTCACAACAGCAAGCACAATACATTCCAGGAAGCAGAGCAACTACAGACATTCCTCCATCTCAATGCAACACAAATACAAATGGACAATCCTAGAAAGCAGAAATGCCTATTATTCAAAATTGAAACCAACAAAACCAAATTTTAACTATTCTAACACATTTTGGAAGTTCCAAAGATCATAAGTTATAATAATGAAATATATATAATAAACATAATGAAAACCTTTATATATACTCTAATAATATATAAATATGTAAATTTAAGGAAAATCTTACTTTTTTTTTTTTTTTTTTTAGATGGAGTCTCACTCTGTTGCCCAGGCTGGAGTGCAGTGGCGCGATCTTGGCTCACTGCAACCTCCACCTCCTGGGTTAATGCCATTCTCCTGCCTCAGCCTCCCAGTAGCTGGGACTACAGGCATCCGCAACCGCGCCCGGCTGATTTTTTGTATTTTTAGTAGAGACGGGGTTTCACGGTGTTCGCCAGGATGGATACATTTTATAATATATGGGTGATGCGGTTAAAGTGTTTATAGGAAAATTTATAGTCTTGAATATTTATGTTAATAAAAAACAAAATAGATAAAACAAGTATCATACTCAATAAGTTAAAAAAATATATCCGAGAACAGAAAAAGGAATAAATTAATAAATGAAGAAGTTAAAGATTAGGGAATCTCTACATTATAAAAATGATAAAATAGGCCGGGTGTGGTGGCTCATGCCTGTAATCCCAGCACTTTGGGAGACCGAGGCAGGTGGATCACTTGAGGTCAGGAGTTCAAGACCAGCCTGGCCAACATGTGAAACCCCGTCTCTACTAAAAATACAAAAAATTAGCCGGGCATGGTGGTGGGTGCCTGTAATCCCAGCTACTTGGGAGGCCGAGGCAAGAGAATCGTTTGAACCCGAGAGGCAGAGGTTGCAGTGAGCCGAGTCCACGCCATTGCACTCCAGCCTGGGTAACAAGAGCAAAACTCTGCCTCAAAAACAAAACAAAACAAAACAAAACAAAAAGATAAAGTAAGTAATAAACCTGAGCTCTGAATATCAGGAGATGGAGCTTTTAGGTAGCTGTGTCAGGAGCTGCCCCACCACACTGAATCGTTAGGAAACCACCACACATTTGAAAAGGTAAAAGCCTCGGAGGCCCTGTTCTCTAGTTATGAAGCAATGTGGCTAGAAAACAAATCATTTGTCAAGTAAAACCACAGTAACAAGAACCTACATATCCAAACCCAAGGGATACAACCAAAACTGTACTTAGAGGAAATGGTATAGCATTGTTTATATTGTTTGATAAAAAGAATAAAAATTAACCCTACCTTTATCTAAAAAGGTGAATCTTCCTCTACCTCCCCAACAAAACAGACTTAAGGAAGGAGTCAGCAAGAACAAAATGAAGAAACCAGTAAGGCAGAAAATATTAGAAATGATAAACCATCCAAATCCCTTGAAAAAAAAACAGCAAAACCGTCAGATTTCTAATGGGGTTAACTAGGACAATAAAGGGAGACTTATCTAACATTAGACTTGAGAAAGGGTTATCACCATATGAGCAAAAGGCATCAGTTTCAAATGAATGAATGTTATGCACTATGTTTGCTAATAGAATAGAAAATCTCAGTGAAATTAGCAATCACAGATTATAGAAACAGGAGGGACACAAGGAGTCAAATAGATTTCAAAGAACAGCTGGGTAAATTTGATCAAAACTTCCAATTATAATTATTGTGCCATTTAATTTGTCCCAGAGCATAGAGAAAACATCCCATTTAGTTTTGTGATGATAGCATAACCCTGATACTCAAACCTTGATCTTCGGCTCCTCCTCTTGGACAAAGGCTCTCTCCTTAGACTTTTGGTATCTTCTGCTTGTTCTATGCATTCACTGACTTTCCCCAGGCCTGCCCCTGTTGGAAGGGGAGAGTGCCGCAGAGCCACAGCTTCAGAATCTGCTCCTTCTTCAGGATCTCCTGCCTCTGCCCTGGGGCTCAGCAGGATAATTTGGAAGGATGGGGCCTGAGCTGATGGTTTCTCTGCCCGGGGCACCTTCTCCCACCTTCTCTAACAAGACTGTGACTTATTTCAGCCTGGCAGGGGTCTGTGGGACACTTCAGCTGTGCTGGAGGGTTAGGAATGCTGCAGACACATCACCTCAATCTGGTCAGAAAAGGTTGCTTTAATGTTTTTATACTCCTAGCACTTTCAAAAATAAATGGAAGATCTCAGAAGAAAAGGTACTTTTCAAGTAGGCTGGAGGGGTAAGATGAGACTGAGGAAAAGAGGAAGCAAGTTAGCTAAAATACTAAGTATTCCTGTTAAAACTGATTCTCCAGTTTAGTTCTAAGCTTCTTGGCAAGGCATGATAAAAAGTGAAACGCAGACCGTTATGTAATAGAAGCATATTTTCTTAGGAGAGATGGTACTTTTGCTGGCACTAAATTCTAAAATTATTTTTCACCTAGAGTTTACTTAAGGAAAATAGGGGCATATATAGACAAGCTCTTCAACAGGAATCCCACAGCAAATGCAGAAAATGAGTTCTGGTTGTTTCTTGTAGTGACTGTCAAGAAAAGCCCAGAGCAGAACATCAAAGCACAGCCCAGTGAAGGGGAATCTGCAGGAAGCTGAGATCCTGTGGTCCAAACAGGAAGAGCCAAGACTATAGGGTTCACCACTGGTCAGTGGAACAATGAGCGGTGTCACTAGGGTGTGGGCAGAAGCCAGATTCAGGGGTGAAGGTAGAACTAGGCAGCCAGGACAGCAGACCTTGAATCTGTATCCAGGAAGCTGGTGAAAGTGTGGTAAGAACCTTTCAGTGAATAGCTATTTACTGTTAATTTCTCCTTTCTGGCACACAGGAGAAACATTTCTCACCTTCTTGGAGTTAGGAGGGGTTATCGCTTCTCCTATTGCCGTGAGCAGAGGAGTTCTTGCAGTGAGAAGGGAGGAGACATCAGATTAAAGCAGCCAGCAGACCGGGCACAGTGGCTCACACCTGTAATCCCAGCACTTTGGGAGGCCGAGACGGGCAGATCACCACCGAAGATCAGGAGTTTGAGATTAGCCTGACCAACATGGGGAAACCTTGTCTCTACTAAAAATACAAAAATTAGGCAGGTGTGGTGGCTTACGCCTGTAATCCCAGCTACTTGGGAGGCTGAGGCAGGAGAATCGCTTGAATGTGGGAGGTAGAGGTTGCAGTGAGTCAAGATGGTACCATTGCACTCCAGCCTGGGCAACAAGAGTGAAACTCTGTTTAAAACAAAACAAACAAACAAACAAACAAACAAAAAAGCAGCATTGCTGGGTCCCTGCATGGAAGGCAGCTACTCTGGAGAGTCACTGTGACCTGCAGTGGACCTTGCCTAAGTGAGGAAAAATAAACCCAACCCTTGTTGTGTTCGACTTGGGGCTGTTTGTTATAGCAGTGTCGCCTAGCCTATGTTAACTAAAATTGGATGAATGAGCCCAGATGGAGCCCCGGGAGAGGAACAGCAGAGTGAAGTGAGGCTATGTTTAAGTGTAGGAAAGGCCTGAACGTGTTTCTAGATGAAGGAGAATGATCCAGAAGGGTTGGAGAAGAGGATTTGCCTGGTCATTCAAATTTAACAGATGGCAGCAGGTGTGTGATCCCCAGCAAGAGAGGAAGGTTTACCTTGAGACAAGAAGAGAGCCACTCTTTCCTCGGGCACAAGGGCAAGTGAAGATGAGAGATGAGGGAGGGCAGGAGGGCAGGGAAGCTGACGGCTTTTGTCTGATGGTCTGGATTTCCTCAGTAAACAGGGAAATAGTGTTGGAGAGAGGTGGGAAGAAAGGATGGGACAGGATTTTCGACGAAGGGAAGAGCTTTGGGGTGGTCCCAAGAGGAAGACCATGGGGTAGTGAAGGAACGGAGGAGTCTGTCGCAAGGGCTCACTATGCATTTGTAGCACACTTGGTTTTTGAAAAGCTGTGATCTTCCGTAGGAAATCTCCACCTCTTTGTGGGGAAGGGACAGTCTCATTATACTCTCTTGGGCAGAAGCAAGCTCCCATCCCTGCAGCTATTGAAGCAGAGCATGTATAACATACTGACAGGGACGTGGTGAAGGAGATCCCTGAATTGGATAGACAAAACGCCCTTTAAGACAAAACGGCCCTTCCAACCTTGAGGTTTTATGATTCTATAATTCTATGTATTGTAAAGAACTTAACAAAATCAAATTACTTCCATCCTATTCAAATTATAGTGACCTGCCTTTTAGCTTGCCCAAGGGAATGGACTTAAAACTGCTGTGCACTCAGAATAGATGATGTGATTCCCACACTCTCATTCCAGGTCAGTTCTCCTAAGTATGGGAGTAATTATGATGGAGGAGATGCACCGCGTGCTGACTGGAGAGTTAGCTCAGCATTCGTCTCTCTAGAGCAGGCATGATGGACCAGCTAAAAACAGAGTGTCAGTTTGACACATACTCTTTTTGTTTGCTGATGACTTTTTGAATTTTTTGTTACTAAGCTCAGCATTTTCCTTGTTGACTCTGGGTTTTGTTCTCTTTAGAGAATTTTATTTAGTTCTTATGTCTTAGAAGTAGCTCACTAAAGGACATAGCAAGAGGAAGAAGAGATGTCTTATATGATTCTGGCTCCAAACGTACCACAGATCTCTGACTGATGGCAGGACTGGTACCCATCTCCAGAACCCAATTGAATCGTGGTTACTCCATGTGTCCTGGAATAAAACACAGGAAATAAAGGCTTTTCCAACAACATGAGGTTTGCATCTTATTGGGACGGAGCTATGGAAACCCCAGCCTGGCTCAGAAGGTAACCTTTTCAACAAGGCTCATCATAAAATTCACAAACTATTGAACATGTTGCAATTCTATTCTTGTTTTAGTGACTCCTCTCAACTACTTCCATCGCCATAACTTTCTATTTGATGACCAGCAGCAGATGCATTTTCAGGAGAAACGGGAGGCATCAGACACGACCATGACCTCTAGCTGCAATAAGGATATGTTTGTCCTGGAGTCTCCTTCTACCTTCTAATTACCTTGTCGCATCTTGTTACATAAATTATCTGCCCAATGCCCTGAAATGTTCCCTTATGGAACAGGGCTTTACCACTCTGTGGCATAAGAAATTTTGCTCAAGTCCTTCCCCAAGTTCGGCATCAGTAGATTAGGGGAATATCAACAATATGTGAGTGCAACATGTCACGGGGGAGATAGAAGAAAGATGTTCTAAGATCAAAGGGAGTATCACCCTGTTTAGTCCATAATAAACTCAAGTTGATAAATGGCTTGATGATGCCTAATGATCAAGAACAGAAGGGCAGAAATACTAATCAAAAACTCCACTCACGACCGGGCGCGGTGGCTCACGCCTGTAATCCCGGCACTTTGGGAGGCTGAGGCGGGTGGATCACAAGGTCAGGAGTTCAAGACCAGCCTGGCCAAGATGGTGAAACCCTGTCTCTACTAAAAATACAAAAATTAGCCAGGTGTGGTTGTGGGTGCCTGTAATCCCAGCTACTCGGGAGGCTGGGGCAGGGAATTGCTTGAACCCAGAAAGCAGAGGCTGCAGTGAGCTGAGATCATGCCACTGCACTCCAGCCTGGGCGACAGAGCGAGACCCCATCTCAAAACAAACAAACACACACTCCACTTACTGACTGGAGAGTCAGAAAGAGCTCTTCATTTCTGGTTGGAGTCACTTTCACTAATGCAGCCTAAAGTATATCAGTTATACTTTCTTGACCTCATGTGGCATCTGAACATACTGAGATTAAAATGAGAAACTATTGATACCATCCTTGGCTGTTTCTAAATAGATGTTAAATATCTCTGATACAGGATCCATAAATCTATAGGATTCTTTAGCCAGAATAGAATGAGAACCTTCAGCAAGATGGAAAGAATCCTAGCCTGAGTACAGGTACTACAACAGCAACTGACATTTAGCCCTTGAAGAGTTTAGACTCACTGTAAGTTTCTCCACTTAGACTCACCATGAAGTTTCTAAAATATCATGATTCTTATAAGAAATAGTTACTTGTGTTTACCAAACAGGTGCGGTGGTAGATGCAGGGTAAATAGTGTTGATGAGAGCTACTGTAAAGTCCCGGGAGAAAGTAGCCTCTAGGAAATGTTGGATAAACATAAACCCTTCTGCCACAAACACCTGGATAAAATGTAAAAAAATTATTGTAAACAATAGCCAAGCATGCAAGCAAGAAAAGAAAATTACCAGACACCAGAAACAAACAGGGGATAAACAGCTACAGTGGAGAGTGAATGAGTTGCTGCTGCCTACTCTTGGGGTAATTGTGGGGAGAGATTGATGGTGGCGATGGGGTGGTGGTCATGATGGCATCAGTTTCAGCAACCTAAGGGCTTGGGCCTTCATGCTCACATAAGGTCAGGAAATGAGACCTTGGAGAAGGAACGGAGACAGAAGGAGACTTCTGCTGACAATTGGCATTCTTGGAGGGCCACACCCTCAGGGAAAGTAGAGATTCGGGGAAAACCCGTCCACTGGCACAGCAAGATAACAAAAAGCATGTCTGTTTCTGCTTGGGCACAGAGTGAAAATTTCTCCCCCAAGAAGTCAAAACTCAGGGCTTGTGTTTCATATAGATTTACATGTGAATTTATACTATCCAGAAGTCCAGGAAACTACCAAACCAAAGCCCTTAATATACAGCCAGGCATGGTGGTGTGTGCCCCAAAGTCCCAGATACTTGGGATGCTGGGCAGGAGGACCCCTTGAGCCCAGGAGTTCGAGTTCAGCCTGGGCAACGTTGCAAGACCCCACCCCTTAAAAATGGGGTCCTAGGCTGCTGATACTTTTGATTTGCCTAGAGAAATACAGCAACACTTTAGAGAAACTATTCTATAATCTAGGATGAAAGGGTTTCACTGAATACACAAGCTACACTAAAGATGAGAAAAATATCCACTAAGTACAAGAGTCTGATGATATAATTAACAGAAGGACTAAAGTTCCAGGAAATTGGGATAATAGCCAGATAAAGAATGTGAGTTTGTCTAAAATTAATAAAGAACTTGCACATGTAAAAAAACAACCTATGTACAAGATTTCTGCAGTATTGCATGTTAAATGAATAAGTTTTATAGTATATAAATTATATCTCAATAAAGCTGTTACTTAAAATGGTCTGAAAATTAATGAGCTAAGTCTGCAATCCAAGAAGTCAGAAAATTACAAATGAGTAAACTTAAAGAAAATAGAAGGAAGAAAATGATAAAGATAAGAGCATATATAATGAAATAGAGACACGAGTGTGATTTTTGCAAAAATTAATAAAATAGACACATCTATGGCAAGACTGTTAAAGAAAACACGAGAGAAGGCTCAAATAACCCAAATCAGGAGTGACAAAGGAGTCATCAGTAGGGATGCTGCAGATACTACAAAGATAATAGGAAGCTATTATGAACAAATATGCCAATCAATTAGACAATTTAAAAGAAATAGATAAATCCACTCCCCAATTCTATTTGTTATCTGAGAGGTGATGGGCTTTTTTACATGGATCACTTTGACTTACAGAGAGAAGGATGCTGAGGGGATGGAAATGGAATTAACTTGGGCGTGGGAAGGCAGGGAAGAGCAGTGGTCCCTGAAGCAAGCCTGGGTAGGGCACCATGGAGGGAGGTAATTGGCATTGAGGGGACACTAAGAGGACTCTGGAGCCTGGGAGGGAGCCTCGAGAGGGAGAGTAGAGGTCTCCAGTGGCCACTTTCCAGGGTCACAGTGTGGCTCCAGCAGGACCTTCCCATCTCCCTGTCAGTGAGGTCACATCCTTCTTTTCTGCCCTGGGCTGTCATCTTTCTCTGCCACCATCTGCCCTGCGGTCTTATGAGGGTTCCTTCTCTAGTTTTTTGTTTTTTTGTTTTTTGTTTTCCAGGGTCTCACTCTGTCACCCAGGCTGGAGTGCAGTGGCATGCTCACAGCTCACTGCAGCCTCAACCTCCTGGGCTCAAGCAATCCTCCCGCCTCAGCCTCCTGAGTTCCTGGGACTACAAGCACACGCCACCATGCCTGGCTAATTGTTGTATTATTTGTCAAGATGGGGTTTTGCAAGAGATGTGGAATAGGGCATGTTTGGTGATTTTGTAGTTCCTCCATAAATCAAGGTACAGAGCAAGAGCTGAGGTGGTAGGTCCACACCGTGTTTCGTGGAACCCCAGGGTTCTAAGATTCTCGGTGGCCTCCGAGACGTGAAATTCAGGAGCTCGGCTACAGGGCTTAGGCCTCCTGCCTCGGTGGCATCCTGTGAAACTCTGCCCACAGCTGTTTTATATCCTTGTGAAAGTTCATTTGCAAGACTCAAGTCTAAGCAATTTTCAAAATCCTTCCCCATCTAAGTTGCAGTCAGAAAGCAGGCATCAGATGGTCTTTGATTGTTGATGTCTGGATTCCCTGCTGAGGCCCAGGGCCAAGGGGGTGTCTGCTATGAGCTGAAATGAGGGTTCCATCTCTCCACCGTGGGTTGTGCAGCTCGGGATTGGCCTGTGTTTGGTCTGTGATTGCTGCACACCCCTGAGGCTTTCAGGGCACTTCATAGATGCCTAAGATGCTGATTAATCTTCCCAACACCACTTGAAGAGCCTCAGGAGAATGCGAGCCAATCTTTGATGTGGCTGTAGGCAGAGGTTTCCGGTTTGGCTGGGTGTCTGCTATGTCTTCAACCCTGTGTTGGGTTTATGATAAGAAAGACAGTGGGAATAGGAAGTAGGGCAGGGGTGGAACTCGAACACAAAGGAAGGAAAATCCAAGCTAGTAAGGTCTATCTGATCAGAAAACGTGGCTAAATAATTAGAAAAGAACCAATGGTATTTTTGGAGGGGAATTATAGAAAGAAAAGGAGCTGTGTGGCCAGGGCTGTGTAAGAGTTGCCAGACAGAAGACAGGTAGAATCGTGTGGCTTCCAGAAGTAGAACCATGAGCCATGAGTGGAAGCTCCAGGAAGACACATCTTGGGCTACTGTTGTGAAGATACTCAGAACTCAAAGACCGACCTGAGGTGAAGATACTCTGAACTCAAAGACCAACCTGAGGTGAAGATACTCTGAACTCAAAGACCGACCTGAGGTGAAGATACTCTGAACTCAAAGACCGACCTGAGGTGAAGATACTCTGAACTCAAAGACCGATCTGAGGTGAAGATACTCTGAACTCAAAGACCGACCTGAGACGGAATGACCTCCCTGGGGAGGGTGTGAGTGCCCCACCTCGACAGGCTTTCAGAGTCTGCACAATTCTTGTTGGCAACGTTGAGGAGAGAATGCGTTATGGACCAGTGGGGTGGGCGAGGTGAGTTGTGTGATCTCCATAGTGCCTTCAAGCCCTTCTGACTTCCAGTTAGGAGCTACATTTTTAGGTGCAGAGTCAGCTACTGTAAAAGTTTAGAGAAAGAAGCCAGCACAGTCCAGGCTGGTCAAAGGGGTCTTCCTTAGGCTCTTGCTGTCAACCTTGAAACGCCAAATACAACAGCTGTGCTCCTGGCATCCCCTCCTGGAGCATTGGTGAGGAAATTATTGTACAGAAATCCGCACTGTGCTCTCAGTGAGTCTGGGTGTGAGATACCATCAGGAGACGAGACAGCACCGAGGCCTGGTGTAACCAGGCACAGGATTCCAATAATTGGAGCCATCACATGGGCCTAGTTAGCTTGACTTGTACCTTTTAAGCGGCTCTGAGTGAAAAGCACATTTATGAAATGCCCCATTCATTTCCTGCCCGAGATCCTATCTTAATCCCGGGCTCTTGCCTCTTGGAGAATTAGCTGTTTCTCAGAAAACATCCCCCCCTCCTAAAGATGCTGAGGCTTTAGGAGGCTCCATTTGGCAAGGCAAACTCTGCGATTGTGTGTTTTCCATGTATTTTCTTAAGCATACTTTCTTCTTTGCTTGTTTAAACATCTGGTATAAAACACGGGACCAATCTGATGCTGCATCATTTCCTATCACAGATTTTGGTTGATCTGAGAGAATACACTTGAAAACTCTGAAAATGATCTGAGTCACTGTAAATGCTGCAGCCAGCCATTGTGGAAAGCTGCTGGATCTCGATATTGCAGATGCAAAGCTGTCAGACGCTTTAGCCTGCTATGGCTGGGTGCGAGAGCTGAGAGAGGCCGCAAACGTCCAGGGAGGACAGAGACAGGGTGCCAGGTGATGTCATGGGTTTTTGTAAGGCAACCCTGCAGGTCACCACTCATGCTCACCGGCCCCCCAAAATGGTGAGTGGTATGTAGCACTGTTTTCAGATATCTATCTTACAGTGACAGGAGGAAAAATAAAATCCATGGTCATTATCAAAGGGTCGGCTAAATTGTCCCTGGCCTGGGCCTGTGGAATTCTTCACTGCGTACATCTGTGAAGAACTGAGATTCTCAGTGTTGAGGAGAGAATCAAGGCATGGATGTAGGAGCTTTGATGTATAAACCCTCAAGCCCCTGAGTTTTGGTGACATGAGAGGTGGCTGGCATGACCATGTGCTTAGATTTGGTTGACCACCGGCTGGGGAAGACAGATACCTCTCCCCTCCTATGGCTGTCCTGAGGCACTGCATGGGCTGGGAAGGGGCCTGGATGATAGAGCTGGGGCAGCCAGCCCCGGGGACTGCCTGGGATGCCACGTATGAAACCGTGTGGGGTGGAGGGAAGATGAACATCTCTGAAATGTAATTGAAAACAATGTAATTGAAAACAATGTAATTGATGAGAAGACAGGACTGAATTGTTCAGCCTTTCCCCAAAACAGTATCTCCAAGAACACTGAGGTCAGTCTCACTTTTCTGGCTGCCCAATTCTGCCCTGATCCCCTTTGAGCCTGAAGCTCTTCCTTGGCTCCATCTCTCCCTCCTCAGAACTCCACCAGACTTCAGCTGCCCCCTCCTCCATCCTCTCCCACTGCCCACCTTGTGTTAAAGGCAAGTGTCTGGTCCTGCCCAGACTGCAAGCTGCTTGAGGGGGGAGACAGATTGCCTTATGCACCTTCATGTTGCCCCAAGTAAGTCCGGGTGTGAGGGTGCGTGCTGAATGTCTGAGCTCTGCAGTAGGGCCTGTGTTGGCTCCATCCTGTGTTGTTGCACATAGCAGGGCCTCGGTGAGTGTTTGCTAAATAAAGGACTGACAATCACGAGTGTAGGGGCTGGGGACCCTCTGGGATGGCCATTTGAGAATGCCACTAGATCCCCTTGCATGTAGAGAGGAGACTGTTTTGTTCAGCCTGTGAAGCAGGTGATTCACCTTCCCCAGGTCATTCTCTGTGCTGTGGGGAGTCTGGCTCTTGTGTGGTACCCTGCACCAATGCCCTTGTTTACTCTCCTAAGCTGATGGGGAGAGGCTCATGCCAGGGCTCCTTATGGCCAGATGGAGGCCTCATAGTGTTTCCCGTCCTCTGGAACAGAAATAGTGATCTAGGAGAACCAGCCAAGCATCAGGACGGTGAGGAGTCCAGAGGAAGTGCCGGTGGCCACGGCCAGCAGCTGCCTGCTGTGCCCCAGGGTGGAGACAGAGGCACCCATCCAGAAGGGCTGGTTCTGGGACCTGGGGGCAGGGAGCAGGCAGCTGGGCTGGGCCACCTACTGCAGACTGTCCCAGGATGTTGTTTCTCCCTCCTGTCCTTGGCCACCCTGTGAGTCACTGTCACCCAGCATTTCCCTGCTTCAACCTGCTGGGCACCCTTCCGGCCCCCCACACCTTCTCTCTCCCCTCAGCTGCCCAAAGGGCCTCAGCTCATCTGAGAGTGAGCCACAAAGCTGTACTTTCTCACTTCTGGTCCCCTTCTGCCTGACTCTACACTGAATTAAAGTCCCTAAAATTATATTTAGCACCTCCAAAAAGCCCTTCTACCGATTGAAGGAATGTTCTCAGATATACGACTGTAGGTGGCCTGGGGAAAGAAAGGAGCTGGTAAAGGCATTGCTTTTACAATTTGTATTGAATATCCATAAGTCCAGTAAAGTGAGCAAATCCTAAGTGTACACCTTGATGAACCTTTACATGTGTGTACACCCATGGAGCCACCGCCCAGATCAAGACTTAGAACATTTCCAGCACTATAGAAGGCTCCTCCAGTCAATAACCACCCCTCACCAAAGGGAACCACTGTGTTGAGTTTGTGAGTGCGTCATCTATTAGTTGACTTGTCCCTGACCTTCCTGTAAATAGACTCATCCTGTAACAGCCGTGAAACTGCTGCGCAGATTCCCTGCCAAGGGGAGCATACCTGATGGAAGGCCCAGTCAGGAGTTACCCCCAGTTCTCACTGAGGCCCCTTCCTGAGGGTGCCTCCAGCCAATGCCTGAGCACATGTAATGAGCCTATTTTTGCAAGACAAGGACTCCCCCAACAGGTGACTTTGGCTCCAAGACCCCCTATTGGGACCCTGAGTCACTTCCTCCCACTCTCCCATCCGGCCCACCCTCCTCTAGAGGCCATGCCTGCCTTGTGGCCAAGGGCTGTCCTCACTGTCTCTGGCTCTTTCTCCTTCACAGGCATTTTCCCAAGAAGTCTCTTCCACGTCTAAACCCATCTTGGTGTCTACCTCTTAGAGCACCTGAACTAACACACAAAAACTGTGTATTCAGGTGCCTGGTTTCTTTTGTGCGTGTCTGTCAGTGAGGTCCACACAAGTCACCGCATGGAGCAGGAAGGCACTGCCTTGGATGTGGCTGGTGTCCTCTTCCACGGGGTGGGAGACCTTACGGCTTCCAGAACCTTCATATGTCCTCAAGACCCACATGTCACCTGGGCAGGAGCCCCTGACAGCATCCCTGCCAAGCTGTCATGGGGACTCAGCTTGAATGTCTTCAGGGAGAGGCCTCTGTCTCTGTTCATCCATCAGAAGGCAGTGGAGTAGAAAATTCTCCTTTATCTGGGTCAGTGCACAAGATGCCTGACTCCCTCCTCCAGTGGTGCGATTGACACAAACCATTCGTTCCTCGGTTCCTTCTTTGAGGGAGTGTTACCTGTGGCCTGCCGTGTGGGGGCCTTGTGTGAGCCCTCACTTCAGACAGGGCGGGGAAGAACAGACCGGTGGTTGATGTAGGTCCAGTCCTGTGCCTTTTCTCTATGCAGGGGTGGCTGGGCAGAGGTGAGTGCAGACTTGGAGGTGCGGAGGTAATGCGAGAGGAAGAGGAGCACCTCCATGAAGATTTCTACAGCTGCAGGCTGAGTCCCCTCTCTTTCTCCTTGCAGATAAAACATCCCCCTTGCTCTGGAGGGAGAAACAAGTTTTGTGCCTCCTGCCACATGGGCCTTGGTTGAAGTCTCAGCTCTAATTCCCAGATGTTGTGTGATCTTGAGTACAACACTCACCCTCTAGGTCTCAGTTTCCTCCTATTTCAAACAGGATAATAATTCCCTACCTCTGAGACCTCTTTGAGGAATATATAATCTGATGCTTATGAAACATGCTTTGTGGATGACACCTGGGCAGCAGCCCAACTCAGCTATGAGGTGGTGGTTCTAGGTGTGAGTTTAGGGGTGTATGTGTGTAGGAGGTTACATTATGGCCCCTCAAAAGATGTGTGCATCTCGTAACTCCTGGAACCTGTCAGTGGGAACTTACTTGGAAAAGAGTCTTTAAAGATGTAATTAAATTAATGATCTCAAAATGAGATCATGCTGGATTATCCAGGTGGGCTGTAAATTCCATAAAGTGCCCTTATAAAAAGCAGAGGAGGAGAAGATACAAAGAAGAGAAGACAGGCTACATAAAGACAGAGTCAGCTGTGCAGCCACAAGCCAAGAAATGCTTACAGCCATCAGAAATGGGAAGCAGCAAGGAAAATTATCCCTAGAGCTTTCAGAGGGAGCACAGCCCGCAGACACCTTTACTGCAGACCTCTCCCTCTAAGGGAGGAGACCATCTCTCATATTGTCTTATGCCCAGTTTCTGCCTCTAAAGAAAGAAGAAGTAAAAACTGAAAGGCAGAAATGAAATCCACAGGCAGACAGCTCAGCGCCGCGCCCTCGGCCTGGTTACTAAGATTGACCCCTGACCTAACTGGTTATGTTATCTATAGATTCCAGATATTGTATGGAAAAGCATTGTGAAAATCCCGTCCTGTTCTATTCTGTTCGGATTACCAGTGTATGCAGCCCCCAGTCATGTACCCCCTGCTTGCTCAATCGATCATAACCCTCTCACGTGGACCCCCTTAGAGTTGTGAGCCCTTAAAAGGGACAGGAATTGCTCACTTGGAGAGCTTGGCTTTTGGGGACATGAGTCTTGCGGAAGCTCCCGGCCAAACAAAGCCCTTCCTTCTTTAACTTGGTGTCTGAGGGGTTTTGTCTGCCGCTTGTCCTGCTACACCTCCAGAAATGTGAGAGGACATTTCTGTTGTAAGCCACTTACTTTAGAGTCATTTGTTACAGTAGCCATAGGAAATGGATAGAGTGTGTCACGTGCCTTCTTTATTAGAATTTGATGGAAAAGACTACTTGTAATATTTAGTCCACTTCTGCTGTATACTTGCAAGTTTATTGAACCCTTTTACATACGATCGTTAAGAAAAATAAGATGCTTAAATTTTTTTTTTTTTTTTGCACATTACAGGTGAGGCATCTGAGGCTCAGAGAGTTAATGAAATTAAGTCTGCATAGCGAGCTGGCACCAGAACAGCAAGCTGGTGTCAGGAGTACTCTGGCCTCCCACCTCCTACTACAGAGCTCAGTCTTCAGCCCCTGTAGCCCTTCTCTACGTCCTCTGCTGTGTCCCCTTCCGTGCCAGCATCCCACCCTGAGCAGAGCAAATGCTCCAGACACAAGGACTGGCAGGGTGACGTTCATCTTGGGCTCTGTCCAGACTCTCTCCTCTCCTGAGGCATTGGAGCACAGGTTCCCTGAAGTCCCTGGAAAAGAATCTCATGCACCAGCTTGGGGCAAGGACCACCTGACGCTGGTGACACAACGAGCAGCAAGTGAAAAGGCTTCTGGAGAAGCTGGAATGTGTCCTGCAGGTGTGGGTTGTGTTTTGATTATCATGAGACAACAGGCAAGCCAGAGTCTGCTCAACCCTAGAAGAAAATAGTAGCCTTCCTAAAAGTAGCCTTGCCACCTGCGAGAGGAGGTGCCCATCCTCCCTGGGAATGGGAAAAATCTACAGCCCAGGGCTGAGACCAGGATGGCTTCTTCTTTTGTTAACACAGATTTTTTTTTTTGTTTCACTTTTTTTTATTATTATACTTTAAGTTTTAAGGTACATGTGCACAACGTGCAGGTTTGTTACATATGTATACCATACTTGTCATTTAACATTAGGTATATCTCCTAATGCTATCCCTCCCCCCTCACCCCACCCCACAACAGGCCCCGGTGTGTGATGTTCCCCTTCCTGCGTCCAAGTGTTCTCATTGTTCAATTCCCACCTATGAGTGAGAACATGCGGTGTTTTTTAAACCAAAATGAAAAGTGAACAAATTATCTCATGTTCTAATTCAATAAGAAAAGCTTCTGTTTCTAAGAAGCAGATTTTCATGTTCTTGTCAGCTAAAAATGTCTTAGTGGAAATCAATTTCAGGAACCCATTTCTCCAACTTTCCACACACACCAGCACTTTCTCTGCAAGGACGGTGGAAAGAGACCACCTCTTCTTACCTGTGATATCCTAGTCCACAAGCTGAGCCCAGCCAGACCATCACCAGGTGACCCCACAGGAGGGGTTTGGGGAAGAGCAGAAGGAGCTGTGAAAGCTCTTTTAGGTTTGGGGCTGATTAAGCCACCAGCTGAAGTGGATGTGCAATCTTAATCAAGCCGTCCTCCTTCCTGCCGAGCAGATGGCTGGAAAGACCTGCTTGCTTTTGATAGTCATGTCTTTGTAACTGGTAAGGCCACATTTTGGAAGCACAGAGAGTTGTAAAGTGAATGAAGCATTACGTAACATTATGTGTGAAGAACAAAAGAATAGGCTACGTGGAGGTTGTCAGAAGTCTGAGTATGGAGAGGGAGCCCATTCATGCCTGAAGGATCAAGAAAGTCTGCCTGCCCCCAGCCTTCCTCCTTCCTTCCTTTGAAAAATGTCTGATGAGCTTCGAGTCTGTTCCAGGCATTGTATTTATTAAGTGTTGAGGACCTCGCTGTGAACACGATAGATGTGCGTTTCTCCTGTTAGGGCACACCGCCTACAAGGGGAGACAGGCGTTTAACAAATAATTTCAAACTCTGTGATAATGATGTGTTATGATTTGTTTTTCAAAAGTCAGTGACCGTATATATCATATGTGTGATATGATATATATGTGTGTCTGTTTCTGGGGTCTCTTTTCTGCCCTAGTTGGTCTGAGGCTCTCCTCTCACCAATACCTCACTGTCTGCTACAGAAAGTCTTTTTTTTTTTTCTTTTCTTTTTTGGACAGGGTCTCTCTCTGTCACCCAGGCTGGAGTGCAGTGGCATGATCATGGTTCACTGGGCTCACTGCAGCCTCAGCCTCTCGGGCTCAAGTACTCCTCCCACCTCAGTCTTCCACGTAGCTAGCACTACAGGCACACGCCAACACACCTGGTTAATTTTTGTAGAGACAGGGTCTCCTTATGCTGCTGATGCTGGTCTTGAACTCCTGGGCTCAAGCAATCCTCCCGCTTCAGCCTCCCGAAGTGCTGGGATTACAGGTGTGAGCCACCATGCCTGGCCTGTAGTGCTGGGATTACAGGTGTGAGCCACCGTGCCCAGACTGTAGTGCTGGGATTGCAGGTGTGAGCCACTGTGCCTGATCTGTAGGAAGTCTTGAAAGCTGAGGGTCTTCATCCTCCAACTTTGCTCTTCCTAAATAAATTTAAGAATCAGCTCTTTAGACTCAATGAACTGTGTAAGTCAAGTGTTATGCAGGAGAAGCCCATGGAACTAAGTATTTCTCATAAATGAAGTGTTTGTCATCAGTGCAGAGCTGAATGTCAGACAGGCAAATGGGTGAATGAGGATATGGTAAAAGTTAACTTCCTTTTTACTTTTTTAAGTTTTCTTTTTTTTGTTTTTCAAGGGACTCTGAGATTCTGTGATCCTTTCACAAATGATTTGTGGCTGATGGTTGGATGTGGGTCAGAACTATTTACAGCTGCCCAAGCCATCCTTTGTGTATTTTTGCTTCTTTCAGTCCTTCTTGGTAACAGGCATGTAAGTGAAGCTGGAGACACGATACTGGCCTTTAAAATAGAATGATGGGGAGAGTGGGGAAGACTCACGCTGTAGGACGACAAGCTCACAGATCCCAAGCCCATCGGCACATGAGCCCATGGCCCCACTCCAGGGCTGGAATGTTCCATCCAGGGATTTCGGGGACTCCAGTTGTGTCTGGCAGATTCAAAGATGAGAGAGGGTGAGGCAGCCCCAATATGGCCAGATAGGGAGGCTGCCTTTTGCCTGGGAGCCCTACTGGTCCTTGCCATGCTTGGGGCTGGCAGAAACCGCGCTGTGTTGTGATCAGCAGCGAGGGTCTGGGTCCGCCCTGCTCCCTGTTAGAAGTGCGTGGGTGGGCGGTGGGAGCCCGGGGCTGCCAGTCAGCGGTAGAGCCAGGTTTGGAGGTGGTGCTCATCACTCCCCCCAAATTCCGTGGACTAGAACTTAGTCAGCCGGCCACACCTTATTACGAGGGGAGGCTGGAAAGTGTAGTCTCGCTGTCCACCCCAGGAGGAAGAGGAGAACACAGCAGATTCTTCCACATTAGGGTCCCTCTTCCTCCTGGGAAAGATGGACCAGGACGCAGCCCGGGCTGGCAGGAAGGCCCCCTGGAGGAGGCAGCATTGGCAGTGGGCTGGAAGGATGGTAGGCTTCCTCTGAGATGGGGTGGGTGGGCGTTGTGTTCTGACACACAGAAGTGTTCCGCATACTTAAACTCTCCCCTGTCCCACTTCTCCTTCCAGCTGACTCAGGATGGAGCAGTGTAATTTGGGAGGACCAAGGAGGGTAACTCACCCCAAATATCTCCAGCTGCCCAACCAGCGCCAAGTGAGCACAAATGCCCAGTCTTCTCACAAGGACTTTTGGTGTCATTTTGTGAGCCAGGAAGGTGCCTTTACAGCTGACAATTACATATCCATTGAGGAAACGTAATAAAAACCATCCCTCCCCTCATTTACCTAAATGTGATTTTCTGCAGTCCTTATGTAATTACTGGTATTTTTCAGTAACATTATTAAGGATAAACGAGCTTCGACTTCTCATCTGTCACACACATTCAGATGGGAAAATTTCCTCTTGAGACAGGGAGAGTGGGAGGGAAAGGGAACATTTTCTTGGAGACCACAAATGCTGGCGGGGCTCAGGGCACATTGTCTGGTTATTTGGAATGAATGCTGGCAGATGCCTTCAGTGCTGGGCTCACTTCTCTGCACCTGCCCTCACAGCACCACCTGGGAACCGTCTCGGAGAATGCATCCCCTGCGCTTGGCTGATGGTAGACCCGCCCGCAGTCTGATGCCCAGACGGCAGGGCCCCCAGAAAGGGACAAACTGAGGGCATAGTTTAGAGCTTCTCCTCCTGTGTCCTTTCCCCAGCTCTTCCCTCTCCTAGATGGCTGGAATGGAGATTGAGATTCTTTTTTCAAGAATTTTAAATGGCAGGGACTGTTTCTAAAGAGCAGACCTGTGACTACTTTAAACTGCCCGTGCCCACTACCTGCAAAGCTGTTCCTAAAGCCCTTACCTTATTCACAAGGAGCATGACACGAATGGCTGTGGGGCCTGGGGACAAGAGCCCTGCATACATCTGCTTGGCTTGTGTACTGCACAATTCCAGGGAGGCATCACTCACATAGGCTACAATGTATTCCACCTGCACTGTGGGTGGGTGGCCCGACTGCAGAATCCTGGACGCAGCTAAACAGTACAAGGAGGCCGCCAGGAGACCCCAGACTGGTGCTATCAGGCTTTCTCTAATTTAGGGATGTAAACATTCGCTGCACCTCTGTCAGCTGCCAACATGAAGACAATGGCATTTGGGTGGGAGGGCCTGGGAGCGGTTAACTGGGTTCTATGGCTTGGGCAAGCCATGCCAGTGTTCTGGAGACAAGAGAGAATCCCCCCACCCAACCGTCCTGAGACATATGAATCTGAGGGGCTCAGGGAGACAAGAGTTTCTGAGTAGGCCTAGAGGGCCAATGGGAGGAAAAACCAAAGCGTTGGGTGTGGGAGCCCAGGTTTAGGACCTGCAAACTGAGCTGGGTGCCAGACTCCCAGACTGGACAGTCTCCAGCCAGCTAGTGATCAGATTTTATTCTTTCACTTATGATCATTTCACATCCATTGAACCCTTTCCTTGTGCCAGGCCCTGTAGCAATGCATTATACGATCTCATTTAATCCTCAGGGCACCCTTCGAAGGTTCTTTTGTGATCCTCAGTTTAGAAATGAGGAAACGGACACGGGGAGAGGGTCAGTCACTTGCCCGAGATCACACAGCATGTACACAATGGGACTGGGATCTGAACTCAGATTCTCATTTTGAACAATCATGCTCCTCGCCTTTGCTCAGAATCATCTGAAAATAGGGAACGTTTGCTTTAGGAAAGTAAGATTAGGGGAGGTGGACATGAACGGGGTACACAGGTCTGTCCCAAACACTCTGATCGTGGCATCATTCAACTCCCTGATATCCTCCCCTTCCCTCCTCTTCTACCTCCTCTCATGCTTTTTCGTGTCACAGTCATCCCTTCCAACCAGGCTAGTCCTGACCCCCTGCCTCTAGCGAGGGCAGGGAGAAGGCTATCTGCAGACCGTCACTTTTATCTCTCCATCAACACTCGGTCTTCCCTTCCAGATTTGGTGCTATGTTCACAGCCTTCAAGAAGCCTGCACAGGTTCATGTCACTCATGTATTCATCCAATACCTGATGAGCACCTATTTTGCGCCAGGGACCATTCCAAACCCTGGGATGCACACAGGAATGAGCTGCGTGACCTACCCTTAAAAAGCTCACAGTCTAGCTGGGGAGAAGGGGAGTGGAACAGAGTAGGAGAGACCAGGTGGTCCTGCAACAGCAGCTCTCAAGCTGAAGGACCACCTGGGGATCTGATTGAAAGCTCTGGGGTGGGGCCCAATGTCCTGCCATTCCAACAAGCTGCTGGGTGCTGCTGCGGGGGCTGGGGACCACTCTATGTGTACCAGGAGCCCTGAGTATTCCAGCTGCTACCACACAAATGAATGCCTGGTGCTGGGACGAGGGGAGCTCAGATAGGGAATAGGGGTTTGGGAAGGAGCTGAGTGAGGCCTGAGCCAAGTCCTGACCTAAGTGGAGGGGAAGTGATCTCGGTTGCCTTTTGGAAATGAAATGCATTCAAAACCTCACCAAGGGACCTGGGCTGGCTCTGTTTCCATCCCAGAATGCATACTCTATTTCTTCTGCGTTGACTTGCTTTGAACAAGTCACTTGCTTCTGGGAAATGAGGAGGTTAGGCACAGAAGTTGAGCTGAGGTTCCCTCCGGCTCTAACATTTTTAGGAGGCTGTGGTTCCCACCAAAACCAGCAGATCAACTCCATTTCTTGGCACACTCCTAGAGCCTGTAGACACAAGGGACCTAAGAAATGATGCAATCCGATCTCTTCATTTTGCAAATGAGGAAGCAGAGCCCAAGACGAGGTAATTTTGCAAGATTACATGGTGGGCCTGCGGCCAGACCCAACCCCAGACTCCCAACTGCCAGGCCTCGCTCCTCCCACTGGGGACCCCGTGCTGCACAGTCCCAGGAGGCTCCTTCCCCTTGTATTTCCTCTCCCATGTGAAACCTCTCCCACGGAGTCGTGCACAGGGGTCCTGCCTTCCGTGGTCCCAGACTGTCATTCAGAGTGAGACACATAACTTGCCTGGGAGGAATTAACTAAGCTCTTCCATGAAGAGCTAGCTGCCAACCATCAAAAGAAAGTATTCCCAGCCTGCCAGATTCTCATGGAGGGAAATTACAAGTCTTAGTAATGATCATCACAGGGAGCTCGGAGTAAACACAAAGTCTGTCTCTTTTTTAATCTCAAGTGATTGATGTGAGCAGTACAGCTTCCCTGGTGCTTTAAGGATAACAAAGAACAAATGGAACTTGGTGTGCCGAGTGCATTCGTGGAGGGTGGCATGTCACTGGGTGTTGATCAGATGCAGATGTGGTACTCACACCCACATGAACACAAGGGCTCACACAAAACGCTCACGTGTATAGCTCACGCATGTACACATGCACAACTGCACCTACCCACATTCATTCCTCAGTACTCAGGAGTGATCAGGGGCAAGGCTGTATTTAGCAGAAGGTTCTGGGCACAGTGTGTGCACAACAAATGCCCATTTGGAACTCTGAAAAGCAAACCAATGCACCCTGTAAGCTGAAACTGTATCCCTTTGAAAAACAAACCCCACCTCTCCCCCAGAGGATTAACTGGGTTTACCTCATCCACTGTTTTAATTAATATAGGATACAGCTGGCAGATGGAAGGCTGACGCTTGAGTTGCATGAATGCAGAATTTCAAATATGTCAACAAGGTTTAATGGGCATTGTGATCAGAATGCTTTGGTTAAATAAACAGGTGCAGCAAGAAATGCCAATAAGCACACAGTGTGTCAGGTGTTCACCTACGGGGAGGCAACCTCCCTCCCCCTCCTGCCCTTGGCCACTGTCCAGGCCAGCCCAGCTGTGACAAAGGGATTAGAAGTCCTGCCCCAGCTCGCCCAGCCAGCAAGCCCACCACCTGCTGGCTGTCTGAGGCATCCTCTCCCCTGATGCAGCCACACCACACCCCTCCTTACTGCAAGTGAATTCTGCAGACATTAGCAAAACTTGTGGGAATGTGGCAGGAGGGCTGGGACTTGTGAGCTGGGGCTCTTGCCCTCAAGAAGCCCCCAGTCAAGCCGAGAAGACAGGTCTAAGCCCAAGAAACCAAATTCTTCTTGTGGGCTGAAGGCTTCTCTGTACTTCATCCTGCATGTTCACTGAGTCAGCCATGCCCAGCAGAAATAAGAGTTGTGTCAATGGATGTGACATTGGCCAAGTGCTCTGGGAGGGAGGGAGATTTCATCTGCTGGAAAAATGGGGAAGGCTTAACTTTGGTGGTCTTTGGGTTGGACCTTGGAGGATGGGAGGAAGTCAAAAGAGAAACTTGGGAGGGGAGAGAGGCAAAGGGAACTCAGAGGTTGGAAGATGTCTGCACAAAGGCAAATCAATGGTTTGACTCAGGGGTCAGGGCTTGACATTGGGAGGGAGGGGGAGGATAGAGAAGCATCCCTGTTGAAGCCAGAGGAGAAGGTGGTGTGGATCACACAGAGACCTGAACAGCCTGTAGAGGAATTTCAGCCTTACTCTGTGGGGCAATTGGGAGCTAAGAAAGGCAGCTTTACACAGACCAAGGCCGGCTAGTCTTGAGTCTGCGGTTGTCACTGAGTAGCAGGGATTGTGGCAGCATGGAGGCGCAGGGTTAGGTGGCAGGAGCATGCCCACATCACACTCATGCCCCTTTATATTGACTAACACTAAATTCGCACTGTGATGGAGATGGCCCACTGGCCCAGGTGGCCGTTTGGCAGATCCGTTTCTTTTCCTCTGCCTCTATTGAAATGTACATGAACGTGATTGAGGATAACTGCTCCGAATCAGCACTGTCTGGCTCAAGAATATGTCTGGGGAACCCCAGGAGCCCTTAGCCCCTCGGTTTGAGAAATACTGTCCTAGCTACTCTGCTATTCCCCTCGGCTTACAAAGACCACCAGAGAACTCCAGATCTATATCGCAGCTTTTTGGTCCAGGTCAAACTGATTTCACCACACTGCTTTTGCAGTTATGTCACTGGCCACGTTGAGGGGCCTTATAAAGAGGTTAATGTGTTCCCTGAAAAGATTCTGTTGAGAATGTGCTCTAACATGCCAGCATTCCTTCACTTTAAAGACCTAAGTGAGAAATGCCTCAGGCCCTAGAACCAAGAAGAGTTGATGCTTTCCTGAAAACTGGTCTTTTCTTACCATTATCTTGGTCTCAAAACTGATCACATTTTCCTCTCTGCATTGGCTGGTAGGAAGCTCAGAAGCAAAAATATGGCTCACCTTTAACAAAGTGCATAGGACCTTACCATGCAGCTTAGAGGCTAATTTTATTTTAGTGTCCTCACTTTACTCTTCTTTCCCATCCAATTTCTTTGCATAAGTCTTTACAATCCTATGCCAAATTTATTTTTGTGAGCCACCAAGAATCATATGAAGTGGGGCATAACAAAATCAAAATTAATCAGGACTCATGGGCATTAAACTGGAAGAAATTTTAGAGAGAATCTAGTCTAACTCCTTAAATTACAGACAATGCAATTAAGACTTTGAGAGGAGTAGCGTGTCAGGCTGCCTCAGTGAGCCTGGGGTTTTGGGGAGAGCCTGGATTTCCACCTGGGTACCCTGATCTCACCTTTCCTTTCTGGTGTGCCTCCAAACCAAAAAATCTAGAAGACTTTTCTAACTCTTGCATGCAGTCTCATGAAACCATCTCTGTTTGAAATAATCAACCCATCCTGTCACTCTAGCTTCCTCTAAGGGATTCTCCTTGCATCACCAGCCAGGTTAACATACCCCTATGCTCTCTAGCCAAAGCCGGGGGAAGGCACCATCTTCTGCACTGCAGTGGGCAGGACCCGGACATTGAAAAAACATCCTGTTTTATGTAAGATCGTTCTGATGTGTACTCTAGACCTTGAAGTGAGCTGGTTGTCAGTGGTGATTAAAACTCAATGCAGAGGATGCTCTATTTTACCATCCAGAGGAAGGGCGGGGGACAGGTATTTTATAATAAACCTTGAGAGAGAGATTGCGAGAGAGATGGGGATGACAGCTTTTCTCCTGTGTTGACTCCCAGGCAGCAGTGAACCAGCCCCTCTGCCTCATTTGGAAACTGTAAACACCCAGCGGCATTATCAGAAATTCACCAGGGATGAGATGTCTAGTGAAGAAGTAGTTGGGTGGAGGGGACAGTCAGTGATTTTTTTCTCTTTTTTCCCCACAGCACTCTTTTTAAAAACATGACATGGGCTCTGCTGAATGAGCTAGCTCACAGCCAGCCTTTGGTGGGGGTCTTCTGGGGCTCTGGGGTAAGTGTGTCCAGCCCAGCCCCTTGGTGGGTGAGTGGGCCTAGGCTCGTGTCTGGGGTTCCAGCTCTGGGCAGCCTTGCTGCGCTCAGCTCTTCCTCCATACTCAGAGCTGTGCATAGAGGGCTGGGAGGGTTTGGGGAATGTGGGGATTCTGGGCGGTGCTGGAAAGCACGCCTCTGCCTCCTCCGGGTCTCAGCTGAATCCTTACCTCCTCGGGAATCCATCCTCACCTCCCTGACCAGTTCTCACCATTCTATCCACCTCCGTCTCTTGGCTGTTGTGATGGTTGCAACTTTACATTAATTTGTGGAATTGCACATTTAATGTCTGTCTCTTCCAAGGAACTGTGAGGTCCAGGAGGGCCCACAAATAATGGTCACCACTCACCAATCTGCTGAGCTCAGTGCCTGGCACACCAATGTTGTTCAATGAATAGTTTTTGGTTGAATGAATAAATGATTGAATGAGTTAGTCTCTCAACCTTGTTAAGCATCTACTGTACTTGATCTCTTGAATCAGGCCCCGTGTCCCCTGGGGCTGGGTCGGGGCTGGGAAACTGAATCTCTTGAATGAGGTCCCATGTCCTCTGGGGCTGGGGCTGGGCTGGGAAGAGCACTCACCCCCTGTCATTAACTCTTGGGCAGGGATGATTCCCAGGCAGATGGGCTCAGGATGGCTGTAGTTATGGGAGGAGAGTGTGAGCTTCAGCGTGGGAGGTCATCCTGGGAGAGGCCTAGAGACTGAGATCAGAGCCGAGGGGCAGACCACGGAACAGGGAGGTGTCTGGGTGGCTGGACATGCCATGGAGTTCTGGTCCAGTCTTTCATGTCTTAAACAGGATGATAAGACAAGTGAGTACGGCTTGAAGTGTATATGTTTTCAAATCTGTTTTTTGTGATTGTAAAATTATTGAAAGAAGAAGAAAACTGAGTGGTTAATATGTACGTGAAACATCTTTAATAATCATGGCAATGCAAATTTAAACAACAATGAAATAGCATCTCCATCCATCATCTTGGCTAAAAGTAATCTGGTTGACAGGGCCAGTACTGGGGAAGACGTGGAGAAGCCCTCATAACGCCGTTGGTGGGAGGTAAATCAGCAAGCTGCTTCGAGAGCTGTTGGGGGGTACTTGGTGGACCCTAAAACGGCAGGCCCCAGGACCTAGGGATTCCATTTCTAGCTATGTTCTCTAGTCTAAAGCAATGGTTCTCAAACCACATGTAGTTTGCCTCCAAACTGCAGATTGCCAGGCACTGACCCCAGAGTTTCTAATTCAGTCTGGGGTGCAGCCTGAGGATTTTCCCTTCTGTCAAGTTCTCAGGGGATGCTGATGCTGCTGGTCCTGGAACCACACTAGAGAACCACTGCTCTAGTGTGCACAGGAAAACACGCCCATCGATATTCACTGTATTGCGTCTTACAGCAAAAATTAGAAACAAATCAGAAGTCCATCAGAGGAGGAATAGATGAATATATGTGGCAAATTATGCAATAGACTATTATACGGAAGTTAAGTGAATGAAAGAAAATGTATATTTCAACGTGAAAGATGCAAGTTGCAAGGTGTTATACACAGTATGATGCATTTTATTGGTACATTTAAGAGGAATTTAAAAAAATCTATTATACTTTTTTTTTTTTTGAGACGGAGTTTTGCCCTTGTCGCCCAGGCTGGAGTGCAGTGGCACAATCTTGGCTCACTGCAACCTCCACCTCCCAGGTTCAAGCAATTCTCCTGCCTCAGACTCCTGAGTAGCTGGGACTACAGGTGCACGCCACCAAGCCCAGATAATTTTTATTTTTATTTTTTTTAGTAGAGACAGGGTTTCACCATGTTGGCCAGGATGGTTTCAGTCTCCTGACCTCATGATCTGCCCGCCTCGGCCTCCCAAAGTGCTGGGATTACAGGCGTGAGCCATCGCGCCTGGCCCAAAAATCTATTATAATTCTATGTAGTCAATATAATACAAATATTAAAACATGGACTGGATCTACATCTAATCTAAAAAAGCTGTTGTCTCTGGAGAGGTTGGGAGGGACTAGGACTGGGGAAGAGAATAAAGAAGATATTATCTAAAGAAGATTTTATCTAATCTGTTTTGTTTTATTCTTTAAAAACATGAGATTGATGTAAATAAAATAGGATCTTTCCTAATTTTAGGGAACAGCTACATGGCTTTTATTGTATTACTCTTTGGGCTTTTCTATATTCTTTAAGTGATTTTTTAAATAAGTAATGTATGTTCATTGTAGAAAATTAGAAAATGCAAAAAAGTATAAGGATAGAAATGAAAAGCATCCACAAATACACTGTAAACATTTTGCTATTCTTTCCAGTTTTTACTTACAAAAACCAGATAGGGATCATACATACAGTTTACATTTTTACAACCTGCTTTTGTGGCTTGCTATGATATTGTAAATAGTCTTCCATCCATTAAATTGTTTTGAGGAATATCCTTTTAATTCACTATATAATGCCTCTTACGGTGGTACTTTTATTTAACCAATGCCCTATTGGTCTTTCAGCTTTGTTACTGTTATAAATAACGGGGGTATGAATACCTTAGCATAAGAGCTTCGATGAGGCGACTTCCTTCTGTGCTTGGATGTAGCAGTGTCCTTGAGTTTTGGGTCACAAGGCATGTGATCTTGTCTGTCCCACTGGGCCTGGGATGGGGTGGCTTGGGGGTGTGAATGAAATAGGTCTGTGTGTCCAGTTAAGTTCCCGGAAGCCAAGAAGGCCTGGGCAATGGAGCTCATAGAGTGAGCTTGCAAGCTGTCCCCCGTCCTCCCTTCATTTATTCAGGCCAGGCAGGTTTTCAGGACGTTGGGCGACCCTGGGGCAGAGACATAGGGCAGTCAGAGATGACGGGGCCTGGTCTAGATGGGAGAGGCAGGAACAACCACCAATCTCACAGGTTAGGGAGGGAAACCCAGAGAGCTGCAGGCGTTCCGAGGAGGGCGTGATCAGCTCCATGCGTGATGGCAGCTGGGAAGAGTTTGGAGAGGAGGTTATATAAGAATGGGTGTTTTGTTTTTGTTGTTGTTGTTTTGTTTTTATGACTAGCTTTATTGAGGTCTATTTTACAGATCATGAAATTCAATCATTTTAAGTGTAAAATTCAATGACTTTTAGTAACTTACTGAGTGGCACAACCATCACCAGAAACCAGTTTTAGAGCATTTTCACCCCCAGTAAGATCCCTCACACCCATTTACAGTTAATCCCCATCCCTACACCCACCCCTCGACACCCTCATCTACTTTGTGTCTCTACACATTTTCAGGTTTAGGTTACATTTTGAAGGATGGAAACTGGACTTTCAATTAAGTCAGTAGCAAGGGAAGCACAAAACCAGGGGATACGGTGGTGCTGCTTTCCAGCAGAAAAGCAGTTCAAAGCCCGGACTGCGCCTTCTGGAGCGAAATTCAAATGTGGAAGCTTCGAATAGTCAAGAGCTCTGCACCCCCCGGAAGTACGTGTTCTACCTTTGGTCAAGTAAAGCACTTCTTTCCTTTCACCTCTTGGGCGCCTGGATTCCTTTCTTCCTGCGTTTCCTAAGCTCACTCAAGTGGAGGCAGAGCTGTCGTTGGCTTTGAAAATACATTTGGCTGTGGGTTCTCTGGCCTGGCACTCGTGGGAAAGCTGGGCTGGGGAGTCTCAGCAGGATCAGGGCATGAGGGCCTGGAGGCCTGGCAGAGACTGTAGAGGACGCGGTGGCAGAGTGATCTCAGTGAGAGTCTTCGCTCCCTTCGTGTCATCTGACCTGGTCCTGCTGTGAAGTCCTCAGGACCTCTGCCCACCTTAGAACCAAGCATTTTTTCACCCTGAAAAGGGGTTGAGCAGACCATCTGTGTTCAGTCTGTCTGCCTTTACATAATCAGGTGCCTTTCAGATGCCTTGTACCAGATTCTTCAAAAATTACATTACAAAGTTTCCAGAAATAATGCAAGCTCAATGCAGAAAAACAGCACAATAAATAACAATTCAAAGTCAACCCTAAGATCTCATCCGAAGGTCACTGCTGCTGCCTTTGTGGGTCTATACTTCCTTTTATTTATGTATTAATTTCCGTGGCATCTTGTTGGCTCCCATGAAATCCCCAGGGCAGTGGGAGAAGGTGCCTTCGATCATCAGGGCACAAGCCTGGCTCTCACTGGCCTGGAAGGCCCGCAGCCTGGGGCTCTCACACTGCCTTGGAGATGGGCTGCTCTGGTACTTTGAACCCGCTGTTTAATGTTAAGCTTGGTTTTTCCCTTTGATGTGAGTCAAGTGCTCAGCTCTGGGGAGACAGTCCCTCCGCCTGGGGCATTATCTGCTATGTAAAGGAAAAGAGTCAACCTGAAGCTATCAGCAGCTCTAAATTCTCTAAAGACGATCTGGGCAGCAGGTTGCAACACATCTCGGGATCATTCCATCTTTGTAGAAGCCATTCCCATTAATCATTTATTAA
The DNA here is from genome assembly GCF_000001405.40 of Homo sapiens. NCBI lineage: Eukaryota > Metazoa > Chordata > Mammalia > Primates > Hominidae > Homo > Homo sapiens. Next base: position 194,995,281 of record NC_000003.12, on the reverse strand, counting down.
TTACTCTCCCAATTGAGACAATGAAGTAGATGTAGGATTAAAAAAGAGGCCCATATTCATTTCCCATCTGAGCACCCTGAAGTTCATGGATCCTGGAAGAATGTGAAAAATGGACTCCATTCTTCTTCTTTCTACTTTGCATTTTTCTCTGGGTTTGGCTTCAGCCACAAAGGGAGCCCTAGGAAGGCAGGGGGTTGGGGGGGAGGTTGTGCACTGGTGTGTGCAAGAGTGTACACATGTGTGTGACACCCAGTGGTCCAGGCTCAGAGGGGAAGGACACGGACCCTGTGAAGTCTGAGGAAGGCTTTGGGGCAGGAGCTGGGGCAGGGCAGGGGCTGCCTGCAAAAGGGGGAACCCAGAGAGCCGAGCCTGTGTGCTAGGGCTGAGGGTTAGAGAAGGGAAATAGGGCAGCAGCTCCTTGGGCTTGTCCCAGAGGGCTGGACGGGTCCTGACTCTGAGCTGGAGAGCAAGGGACAGTGGGATGGAAAGGATGTCACGGGGCATCTCCTGACCCCAGGGAACTGTCCTGGGTCCTGTAGGTGTATGCTCCCATTTAATCCTCCCCCATACTCTGGGAGTCAGGTATCAACCACCACATTTTGGACTTAAATTAGGGCTCAAAGAGGTGGAGTGACTTGCTCAAAGTCACACGGTGGATGAGTGCGGGGTTGGGATTGGAGTCCAGGTGTTCAGACCTCAGCGTCTTGGCATTTTCCCTGATCCATGCTGCCATTAACGCAAGCAGCCCAGCCTGGCAAACTCCAAAAGTCTGTCTTGGAAGTAAAAAAGCCAAATAATGTTGATTTTCTGCTGTTTTGGGAATCAAGAAAGACTTCTCCCTTTTTTAAGGGATAAAACGTGCCCCCACCCCCACTTTTTTTTTTTTTTTCAGGGAATACAGATGATGACTGAAGAATTTCCAGAGAATCTAGTGGAGGTGGGAAAGTGTCCTTCTCCAGGGAGGGTCCTGAAGATGGGAGCAGATTCCTGCTCTCCAGCAGCCCCTCCTCACCCAGGCCTCAGTTTCCAGGGAGAACATGTTCAGCCTTCCTCCGTGAGAGGGGCTGGGAGGCAGCGAGGGTGATGCCCCGAGGGTAAGTGTGGGGCGACGGGGGCAGCTGGGAGGCAGCGAGGGTGAAGCCCCGTGGGTAAGTGTGGGCGGGCGGGGGCAGCTGGACTGAGTCACCGGAACCTGCAGTGAAGAGAGACTGTGGATGCCAGCGCCCGAAGGCAGCGGTGTTCAGAGTGAGGGCTGCAAACCCCTGCAGGTGGAAGAGGTCACCAAGGGGCCTTGAGCCCTGCAGGTTTTGAGGGAATCATGCTCTGATTCTCAGCCTCACAGGCATGACGATCTTTCCTAAACTCATCTCCCTGGGATGCACTTGGGTTGACGGTAATGCTTCCCCTGCCTGGAGAAAGCAAGATACCCATCGTCCTGTGAGAAATAGGGAAACCCCTGGGGTGCTACACAAAAGGGAGACTTTTTTTTTTTTTAGATGGAGTTTTGCTCTTGTTGCCCAGGCTAGAGTGCAATGGCTCGATCTCGGCTCACTGCAACCTCCACCTCCCAGATTCAAGCGATTCTCCTGCCTCAGCCTCCCGACTAGCTGGGTTTACAGGCCTGCGCCACCACACCCACCTAATTTTGTATTTTTAGTAGAAATGGGGCTTCTCCATGTTGGTGAGGCTGGTCTTGAACTCCCGACCTCAGGTGATCCACCCACCTGGGACTCCCAAAGTGCTGGGATTACAGGCGTGAGCCACCATGCCTGGCCGGGGAGACGCCTTTTAAGGACTAATCAAGCCATTAAAACACCCTGGAGTACAAAACCGTTCCTGGTCTTATGCATATTTCCGTTAGAGGTGAAGTCTCACTTTAGAAATAGGGAATTGGGACTCAGGCTGGGATATTCTCAATCCAGAAATGTAGTAGAGTCAGGTAGAGGGAGTAATAACTGTTTTTGTTTAAGAATTTTAATTCTTCTAGCCCCCAAATATAACTGTAATGTTTCCTGAGTCTATCATGAAAAATATACAAATACAACTTTTATGTGATGTCTTTCCTATGTTGTGCTCATTATTTAATAAAGTAGGTAGGCCAAGCGTGGTGATTACAGAATCCCAGCACTTTGGGAGGCCGAGGCGGGCAGATCACGAGGTCAGGAGATCGAGACCATCCTGGCTAACAAGATGAAACCCCGTCTCTACTAAAAATGCAAAAAAATTAGCCGGACGCGGTGGTGCGCGCCTGTAGTCCCAGCTACTCGGGAGGCTGAGGCAGGAGAATGGCGTGAACCCGGGAGGCGGAGCTTGCAGTGAGCCGAGATCGCGCCACTGTACTCCAGCCTGGGTGACAGAGCGAGACTCCGTCTCAAAAACATAAAAAATAAATAAATAAATAAAGTAGGTAAAAGTTATTTTATCCAATCACATCATAAATTGTCCTAGGAGAGTTAACTTCATCTTATTTCATTTTGTAGAATGTCTTATATTTTCTACTTCCCATTTAAAATATGCTAAGTGTGGACCAACTTTTTTAGTGGAATTTATCTTTCTCTTTTATTAAATACATAGTAAAATGTGATCATTATATTCAGTGAAATTAATTGAATTATTTCTGATTCTTATTTAATTAATTCCCCAAGCGAAACACCAGAGTTCAAAGAAGTATGGCTTTTATCATATTCCTCACTTCCTAAAACACTTGCAATTTTGGCTTCACAGTACATTATTATAAACTTTATAAATTAAGTAGTCAGTAATCATATATTGAGCTATTATTTTGTTTTTAAAGCTTATAAAATAGGTTAAATATTACATTGGACAAAAATGATGTAAAGCTCGAACCATTTTTAAAACACTACCTTATGATGTTCTTTTACAAAGTTTATCTTCTACTAAGTTTTATAGTATTCCATAAAATGCCTGTTAGCATGTTTCTAAAGCTGGACTTTTTCTGACATAAAGCCTGATTTGGTTGATAGATTTAATAGTAAGGACTGGTTTGATAATTAAGTTATATGACATATTTTTCATAATTTGAATTAACTAAATTTGCAGTTTTAGGTTTTCTGAAAATATATTTAAAGCAAGTGATGATATAAAAGCATTTTATCAAAATGTTGTATTGTCAAAAGTTTAATTAAGTAATAGATTTTGATTTCCTAAACTCGTCTGACAATAATGGGTTAAGTCAAGTACCTCTTAGGGAAAGAGTAATGGGTCTGATTAAGAGTCATTTCCTAAGTCTTAATAGAATTTTTTTGTATTCTTTCCAGAAGATGACAAGGATAATGACTCTTGAGACTGGTAAAAATCCTTTTGCCAAACAAATGGTTTTCAGTTTTTGGTTTTCATCAAAGTTAATAGTAGTTTACTACATGATTTTCAGGCACGTAAGTCAGTAGTTCAGAGAATTAAATGACCTTTTTAGAACAAAACTCCTTCCACTCCCATCTACTGATATGACTAGAGTTTCTCAATGCCTACATCTAAAAAACCAGAAAAATAGGTATAAAATTGATGCTCAACTCCGACTCATTAAAACAGTAAGTCATATTCATCAACTGATACACAACCTAGTTGGAAAAAAGCCAGCTCCATTTATCTCCATTTATCTCATTAAGAAGTGCATTTGTAATAAAAATTGCTTTTAAAATTTTCTAATTATTAAATTTTAATTAGGTTCCTTGCGTCCAGGTCCTATTCTCCTGCCTCAGTTTCACGTAATGCAAGTGTTTTCCACTAAAAGCGAAGATCTAAACTGCCCGAGGGAGCATCACCACTCACAGCTTTTATATATTGGATCACCTGGTGACATTGAATTTAAGGAGCAAAGGAGGGAAGAGAGAGACAGAAAGGGAGAGGAGGAGGAGGAGGAGGAAGAGGAGGAGAAGGAGGAGGAAGAGGAGGAGGAGGAGGAAGAGGAGTAGGAGGAGGAAGAGGAGGAGGAGGAAGAGGAGGAGGAGGAAGAGGAGGAAGAGGAGGAGGAAGAGGAGGAGGAAGAGGAGGAGGAGGAGGAGGAAGAGGAGGAAGAGGAGAAGGAAGTGGAGGAGGAAGAGCAGGAGGAAGAGGAGGAAGAGGAGAAGGAGGAAGAGGAGGAAGAGGAGGAGGAGGAAGAGGAGGAGGAGGAAGAGGAGGAGGAGGAAGAGGAGGAGGAGGAAGAGGAGGAGGAAGAGGAGGAGGAAGAGGAGGAGGAAGAGGAGGAGGAGGAAGAGGAGGAGGAGGAAGAGGAGAAGGAGTAGGAGGAGGAAGAGGAGGAGGAAGAGGAGGAGGAGGAGGAGGATTGCTCTAGAGCACAGCAGGCCTCTGGATAGGGAATAATAACATGACCAAGCATGTTTGACCCTGTCTAATATGTGAATATTTAACTTCTCTGTGTCTCTCTTCTCTGGCTAAACCTGCCGTTTCCATCATCCCCATGACTTGGTCTGCAGACTGCTCTGTGCCCCTCTGTGCTGGTCACTTCCCTTTAGAGTCTTTCTAGTCGGCCAGTGTTCCCTTCCCAGGGCCGGGAGAGGAAAGGAGTTCACCGCAGTCATACTGGTTAGATCCATGACTCCTAGCACGAGACCAACCACACTCCTCTCTGTGACTGAGCACCTGTGCTGGCACAGATGTGTGCTCCAGGGGAGCCCTAGCTAACCTGAAGGATGGGCTCTAAGCTTAGCACACTAGGTTAGAATCCTGTGTAGTCCACATTACCCTTGAAAGTCCCCTAGGAAGGCATAACACTGGAGTCAGACACTCTCTCTCTCTCTGTGAGTGCATCCCGGCCAGATTTTCCTCCAGCACTGGAATCGTTAGTTCTTCGATTGAACACCAGAGGAAGTCGTTGACAGGTATCTGGAGATCATGCACCATGAAAAACGTGTCTCTTTAGTCATTAGGATCATACTCTGCCCAATCAAGTGCTCATCCTCTGACAGGCATGTGGGAAATGACACTGGGGAGGGGATAATAAATGTGTCTTCTCTATCATGTCATATGGCCACACTAAGGCATGGAGTCAATGCCTTGGGATCAAAGACACCCTTTATTTATTTATTTATTTTTGAGACGGGGTCTCACCCTGTCACTAGGCCAGAGTGCAATGGCACCATCTCAGTTCACTGCAACCTCTGCCTCCCTGGTTCAAGCGATTGTCCTGCCTCAGTCTCCCAAGTAGCTGGGACTACAGGCATGCACCACCATGCCTGGCTAATTTTTGTATTTTTAGTAGAGACAGGGTTTCACCATCTTGGCCAGGCTGGTCTCCATCTCTTGACCTCGTGATCTGCTCACCTCGGCCTCCCAAAGTGCTGGGATTACAGGCGTGAGCCACCGCACCCAGTCAAAGACACTCTTTAAATAATCTCTCTCTGCCCTCCCCCAGTGGATTCGTTGACTCCATAGGTTACATATATGTATGATGCAGCCACACTCCTTCTCAAATCCTGACAACCAGATAGCCATGGCAGAGGACACTGAGTGTCTGGTCTGTGTAAAATACAACCTCTTATCTTCTGAGGGTGATCCTTCTCCTCCACCCCTGTGTGTAGATTGCAAATGGCCACAGATTCTTTTGAGAGGTGGAGTCTGTCTCCCTACTCCTTAAACCTGGACTTGCCTGGTGACTTGCTTTGATCAGTAGAATGTGGCAGAAATGATGCTACGTGGTTGCCAAATCTAGGCCTTAGGAAGCCTTGTGGTGTCTTGCTCTTGCCGCCTTGGACTTCTGCTGCCGTGTGAATGCGCTGCTGGAGAACCGAGACACCCTGGCTGATAGCATGCTCAGGGATGAACATGTGTATGAGGCCGTCCTAGGCCATGCAGGCCCAGCCGGGCTGTCCGCTAACTGGAGCTGCATAAGTGACCCCAGATGAGACTAGCAGAAAAACCACTGCTGGTTCCAGCCCACATTGTTGACTCAGAGAGTGTGAACCAATAAGTGTCATGTGAAGCCACTAGGTCAGGAGGATTTGTTAGTTGTTGCAGAGACAAATGTGGGCTCCCCTTCCGTATGGTGGGCTTGTTGTTGGGAGGTGGCCACTCGACCAGACACTACATCTCCCCACTCTTCCATGTCAAGTATGGCCACCATAGAGCTGGCTCTCGCCAGTGGAGTATGAATGGAAGTCACGTGCAATACCCCTGGGCTGAGGCTTAGGAGTGGATGGGCTTTCTCCACTCTGTCTTCCCCCTTCTGTTGACTGGAAACAGAGGCCTTCTGGGTCCTCGGGGATGGGGAAACCACAGGAAATGATGAACCTGAGTTCCTGGTCCCCATGTGACGAATAGCCCACCCATAAGGAATGCTGGCGTTGGATGTTATAGGAGTGATCAACTTCTTTTGTGTTAAGACTTTGAAGGTTTGAGGTGTTTGTTAGAGCAAGTGACTAATAGAGCTCACAATGACAAATTTCTCTGGTGGGCACTACTCCAAGCCTTTTACATTTATTAACCTCCTTCATCCTTCCAGCAGCCCCACAAAGAAGGGATTATTTTCACCTTGACAGAGGTGGAAACTGCCACTCTAAGGGATGAAGTGAATTTCCCAAGGGCGCACCTAGAATAAAGTGGGTGGGGACTAGATCTAGACAACCTGTGAGCTAGTTCCTGGTCCTGCCCTGTCTCTCCTGCGCCCTCTGGGGCAGTTTCCTCGTCTGTAAAATGGATTGGGAGAGAGGAGGCTAAAATCACGAGCTTTCCTCTAAAGCCCTGACTTCCTAGGTTTCTGTGGTTCTCAGACTTGACATTGGGACACAGGTACAGGAGAGTCAGGGCATGAAGGGAATTCACAGTCCTGCTTCCTAAGTCCCAGGAGGTTCATCTTGGTCTCTAGACCGTTCTGTAATCAGTAGCGTGGTGGGGGCAGCCGGGCTGAATTGGCAAATCCTGGGAGCTGCAGTGTTACGACTTAGAAGACAGGAGTCAAAATGTGTGGTACCTGCACGTCGGTGTCTCTCCAGGGAAACCCAGGCCTGGCACTCCCTGTCCACAACAACTCCACAAAGTTTGTACCCGGTGATGGGCATGGTCCTATTGTTGCCTGGGGAGGCCCTGATCAGGGGGCTGGCAGAGTCAGGGCTGTGCCTTGGCATGAGAGAGTTGGAGACAAAAGCTTTGGACAGTAGGTTGGGTAGGGAACTGGAATGCCCTCTCCCGCTACGTGGCACATAGGAAAGCAAAAGCCCAAAGAGGCTGAATGACTTGCCCCAGGTTGCCCAGCCAGCTGGGGCCAGGCCCCTTTTCCTGCGTCATGCTGCCTGCTGGGCCTGGGCTGGGGTCAGCACACCGATGCCTTTTGGCTGTGTTTTTTCCGTGTGTCTGATGTAGAGAAGAATTTTGAAAATATACTTGGGAGAAGCTTCTTCTCTTCGGAAGTCCCACGCAAAAAACCTCAGAGGAGAGGACGGCCCTGCACGCCTATTGACTTCAGGGCCTCCAGCTGCCCCTCTCCTCCCTTAAGGTCCTCGCAGGGAACCCTGCTAGACTGACGTCTGAGGGTGGTAGCTGTCAGGCATCTGCCTTGTGTGCAGTTTCAGTTCAGTCAGACACTGATGTGTTCGAGAGGAGGCCTGGATTCTGCTCCCAACGTGGCGAGTCACCAACTACATGATTTGGTGGGAAGCCTCAATTTCCTTATCTGGGAGGAGGGAGGGAAGGGGAGTGGGCTGGACTAAACAGCCTCTGAGGCCCCTGGGACCCTATTCCTGCAGAAATAGGAAAGATATTCTGGGGTGTATATAGGTATCTATATGTCTAGACACACACGCACATATGCATATGTATATATCTATTTATATTCATTCTCTCTACATATGTTTATATTCATATATATTTATATTCATTTTTTTTTTTGAGATGGAGTTTCACTCTTGTCACCCAGGCTAGAGTGCAATGGCACTATCGTGGCTCACCGCAACCTCTGCTTCCTGGGTTCAAGCCATTCTCCTGACTCAGCCTCCTGAGTAGCTGGGATTACAGGTGCCTGCCACCATGCCCGACTAATTTTTGTATTTTTAGTAGAGACGAGGTTTCACCATGTTGGCCAGGCTGGTCTCGAACTCCTGACCTCAGGTGATCCACTCGCCTCAGCCTCCCAAAGTGCTGGGATTGCAGGCGTGAGCCAATGTGCCCAGCCTATTTATATTCATTCTATTTATATATAACATTATATATGTCTCAGCTTTGGAGCCTGATATTTCCAAAAGAAGCCTGGCTCATTAAGGAAGTGGAATGAATATAATCCTATTGTCGCACAACACTTACCGCCTACACACGTCCTCATACAAGGGGGTTGGGGAAGACTCAGGTTCAGCGTCAAGCCCACGGCTCTGGGGTGGGAGGGGCCTGGATTCTTGACTCTTTTGTTGCTTAGTTCCATCTTGGATTTTGCCTTTTCAACTTGGCCCTGGTTCAGCCAGGCCCGACTGGGTGTCTAGGCCCTTGGCAAAGCCATTGCATAAGCAGGAAGCTATGCAGCAACTGTGGCACGGCGGAGACTGTGTGGTGAGGTTGCAGAACCAGGTAGGGAGTCTGACTAGACCAGCCCTGACTCAGCTTGTTTCCAGACGACCTAGGTGTGGGGGGCGTTGCCACATCAGTCAGGACTCCCTCTGTTGAGCGTGACAGAAACCCAGCTCACGCTTGCCTACACACAAAGGGAGGCTTTGGGCTCCAGAAATTGGGAAAGACAGGGGTGGAGTGGACCTCAGGCATGACCGGATGGCAGCCTCAATGCAGCCAGCTCTCAATCTGTGAATGGTCACCATTATTTTCTACTACACACAGGATAACCTGGGACGGGGAGCCGTGGGAGGCAGAGGCCCCGCTGCAGACAACCCAGTTTAAATTACCCTAGTTGGTGACTGTGGAAAAGAAAGAGCTCAGAGTATACAGGTTCCAGGGAAGGCTGTGGTCAGCTGCCTTAGGCCACAGGCCCACCTCTGGGACTGACATCATGTTCAGGCCAAGTTAGGGCAGAGGGGACTGCTATGGCAGTGAAGTCAAATCCTAAGGGATGGGCCATGTGGAGGAGCAGTTCTACGAATAAGGTCAACTGCTATCAGAGAGGGGGCCATCAAGATCCTGAGGATGAGATCAAAAGGCTAGCTACCCACTAAAGATCCAGCAGCAGTCAGCATCCAATAAGGAGGGCACAGAGAGTTTCCTATAAAGAACTGAGGTTGAGGCCGGGCGCGGTGGCTCACGCCTGTAATTCCAGCACTTTGGGAGGCTGAGGTGGGCGGAGCAGGAGGTCAGGAGATGGAGACCATCCTGGCCAACTTGGTGAAACCCCTTCTCCACTAAAAATACAAAAATTAGCCAGGCGCGGTGGCGGGCGCCTGTAGTCCCAGCTACTCAGGAGGCTGAGGCAGGAGAATCGCTTGAACCCGGGAGGGGGAGCCTGCAGTGAACTGAGATGTCGCCACCGCACTCCAGCCTGGCGACAGAGCTAGACTGCATCTCAAAAACAAAACAAAAACAAACAAACCAACAAAAAAAACTGAGGTTGAAACGAGGACACAGTCCAGGAAAGCCAGGGCATGAAGGGGATTTTCAGCAGAGCAGGAGTGAAAGTCTCTGCTTTGTAAGTCCTGGGAGGTCCATCTTGGTCTCCAGACTCTTCTCTGCAGTCATCAGGGTGACAGAGACTGACAGGGTGAGCAGAAGTGGCAACTGCAGAAGGCAGCTACTACTATTTCTGTGGCTGAAGGGGCGAAGGGGGACATTTAGAAACACAGCGGAGGGACCCTGCAGAGCCGACTTGAGGAGAGGTCTCTGCGCGCTGGCGCTGGGGCCCTGCAGACAAGGGCCCACTTGCCTGGGATCCCAACCTCTGAGCAGGGGTCTGAGCCGGCTCTTGGGCCACAGGGTGACGCAACTGCTTCTGCCAGAGTTGGAGAAGCTGCAAGCTGCGTTCCGCTGCGGCTCCGGTTTGGCACTGCCGGCTGTTGGCTGGGGAGGGAGACAACGAGCTCCCAGGAACAGGAAGCCCGCAGGAAGCGGACAGGGAGCAAATAGGAAGAGCAAGTCCTGCCTCCCGCACCAGCCTGGAGGTGCCGCTCTAGCGCCCGGGCTGCAGAGCCTACACAGACCCGGCTGGCAGAGCGGAGCCGCGGGCAGAGTCCCAGCTCCAGCATCACCAGTTGGCGCCCAGAGGACGGGCGTGGAGCATAGAGGTCGTGACTGAAAAGCGGCCCCAGAGGTCTCCCTGCAGGCCTTCTGGTGGGTGCGGGAGTCCGTGCGACAGCCATCTCCCTCGGGAGGCTGGCAACTTCTTGAGGTCAGGGACGTGCTGGCTTCGCTGTGCATCCTCCACGGGGCCTGATATCCTTCCCCAGGCAGAGCAGGCCGTCGTAAGCAGGTGTTATGCTGAAATGAGCTGCATGGCAGGAGCCCTTGTCAGGCAAGGTGTCCTGGGCAGCTCCGCAGCCCTCCCTGCCCAGCCCTCAGAGTTCCTGTGTGTTTTCCCGGGGCGTGGTTCCAGGCTTTCCCTGGAGTCCCGCATGGGGCCAGGGTGGGGGTGTTGAACACTGGACCTTGAACACAACTGGGGCAGGCTCTGCCCAGACCTGGCAGATGCACCCTAAACTTCCTTCTCATCCTCCTCCACCTGCAAATGAAGTCAACAGCAGGATCTTAGCTCCACCAGTTACAGACTGTCTGGCTTTGGGCAGGTTATTGGGCCATTCTGAGCCTCAGTTTCCCCAGAATGCCCTCTTCAGTCTCTTAATCCCTGCACCGGGAGACAGGAAGAGACTCTTGGCCCTCTTCATCCCATCCATTCCTCTCCCCTGTCTCCTGCTCCTTACTGGAGTGTGATTTTAACACAACACATCATAATTATGCTTTGAAAGGCAGTCAGTATTAGCAAGGCAGATATCTGTTTAGCTGGAAAAAAAGGAAAGATCCAGGTCAGCTGGGACTTGCTGAGCAGAGCTCATGGACAGCTGCAGGCGAGGCAGGGGGAGCAAAGGGGTAGAGAAGGCGAGGGAGGACAGGGGCTCTGCAACAACCTGAAGGAAGCAGGAGACCAGGTGGGCCCCATGCCCTGGGCTCCTGTGAATTCCAGAGCAGCTGAGCATTTAGACAGGAATCCTCAGGAGAAGGCTGGAGCCCCCCAGCCTCCAGCTGCATCAGGGCAGGACAGCAGGGCGACAGGCCCAGTGGGGTAAGGGACACAAAAGTGTTTATGGACCATGTGGGAATGGGATTAGGCCAGTGCTCAGTAAAGTAGAGGCTCTGATGAGATTTTATGGGCCATATCAAAGGTTTTTGTATAAGTTTTTCTCCCTCTTCCATCTCAAGTTCTTTCATGGCAGGTACTGGGTCTGAGTTTTCTCTGATGGTGCCCAGAGAGTATGTTGGGTGTATCTGGGGACCACACTCAAGTCTGGGTGAGTGTTTGGAGGGGCTTCTGGCAGCGTGGCCTATGCTACTGGAGAGCCATGGGTCTGTAAGCTCAGACAATGGTGTGAGCAGTGGCAGATGTGACATTTCCCAGCCAGGAGCCCTGGCAGGCAGGCAGAGGGGATCAAAGCACAGGGACCTCATTTTCAGCCAGAGAAGGGATTAATGAAGAGCCCAGTGTCCCAAAGGGAGGCTAATTGGGTTCCGAAGAGTGGTAAGTGTTCCTGGGCTCACTTGGCATGGTCCTACCCTCTGAGCCCTGTTTCCTCAAGAATTTAATTTAATGTCCCTTTGTTGAACGCAGCTGTTGGGGGAGGAGTGATTTGGGCTGTTTGGGCTGTTTTGTTTTCCTCCCTCTTTCTTTTCCATCTTTCCCTCCTTTCTTCTCTTGTGGGAAGATGCCAGTGCTTGGTGAACTGGCTGGTTGGGGTGTCCAGACCAACCTTCTCTGAGCAGGCCTTGAGCACAGAAAGCCCTGGGCTCCCTCCGTCTGCTCAGCAGCCCAGCCATCTGCCTTGCTCAGTCCCTGTGGAGACGTTTGCTGGGGCTGCCTTTCCTTGGAACTGGTGGGTGGGGTCTGGCAGGTGGAGAGATACCAGAGCCCAGGCTTCTAATGCTTTTTTTCTGGGATCCTGACATACAGCAGAGACTGGACATACCTCCCCTTCTTCCCTGCTTGATAACCATCCCTGCTGGGCCTCCCAACTTGAAAGGTGGGACCACAGTACTTGTAGAGAAGGACAGCTCTGGAGTTGGCCTGCCTGTGTCTGAATCCTGACTCTGTGTCACCCTGGGCAAGTCATTTAACTTCTTCAAACCTCAGTTTTTGCTCCTGTGAATTAACTAACCCAAAGAGATATTGTGAGTCTTACGTGAGACAACCAGGGTGAAAGTTCAGCACAGGGCCTGGGATATGGTAAGCATGGTGTAAGGATTATAAGCTTTTATTAGTAGGAGAGCATGTTGGTTTCCCATGGCTGTTTTAACGAATTACCATAAACTTATTCCCTCCCAGTTCTGGAGCTCAGAAGTTCAAAATCATAGACAGCCATGCTCCTCTGAAAGCTTTAGGGGATAATTTGTTTCTTGTTTCTTCCAGTTTCTGGTGGCTGCTGGCATTCCTTGGTTTGTGGCCTCATCACTCCAATCTTCAAGGCCAGCATCTTTGAATTTCTCCCTGATCCATCGTCACATGGCCTTCTCATCTGTGTGTGTGGTCAAATCTCCCTCTGCCTCACTCTGATAAGGATAAATGTGTGTGCCTTTAGGGCGTATCCAGATAACCCTCCGTCCCAAGATCCTTAATTTACTCTCATCTGCAAAGACCCCTTTGTTTTGCCATACAATGTAAAATTCACAGGTCACATGGATTAGAATACTGATTTTTTGTGGGGGCAGGAGTCATTTTTCAGCCTACCAAAGATGGAGCAAAGAATTGGAGTGAGGGGGAGACGCTTGAGTGCCTCATCGTCTTAGGACAGGCTCTCTAGTAGCAGACCGTGGGATGAGGTTCACTGTGCACACAGTTTATCAGGGAAGCGCTCCCAGGAGAAACTGGCAAGACAATGGGAGATGCAGGTCAGAGAAGGGGAAGAAACTCAGTAGGGTGAGATTTGAAGTCCCAGCCTGCTCTGGTTTGAATGTGCCCCCTAAAAGTTCATGTGTTACAAACTTCATTGCCAATGTAACAGTATTAAGACGTGGGGCCTTTAAGAGATCCTTGGATCACAAGAGTGGAGCCCTCCTGCATGGATTACTGCCATTATCATGGGAGTGAATTAGTTCTCTAGGGAGGAAGTTACTTCTCACGAGAGTGGGTTGTTATAAAATGAGCTCAGCTCACTTTTGCAGTCTTTTTCATATGTGCTTGCTTGCTCTCTCTCTGTATAATGCCTTCCCCAATGTTATGATGAGCAAGAAAACCCTCACCAGGTGCTGATGCCATGCCCTTGGACTTCCCAGCCTCCAAGACCATGAGCCAAATAACCTTTTGGTCTTTATAAATTACCCAGTATCAGTCATTCTATTAAAGCAACAGAAAATGGTCTAAAACACAGCATCATATTAATCCCACAGAGAGCTTTAAAAAAGGAAATTCACTGATGAAATTGAATCTCACTTTTATCACTACCCATTCCTATTTCCCTCCTTTCCTTTCCAGAGGAAGTTATTGTCATAAATTTGGTATGTGCCTTCTTGTCCACTTAAAAAATGCTTATAATATATATTTGTGTCCCTAATCATGTAAAGTATTATCTTCCACATTTAAAAAATTTATGTAATAAATTTATGTAATAAATAATCTTTCTCTCTCTCTATATATATGTCACTTTGATTTTTTCACTCATTACGGGGCTTAGAAGATCTGTTCATGTCAAGATACGCAGATATAGTTCATTGCTTTTCACTGCTGCTAATTAATATGTACCACTTTTACTTTAGATGAAAATTTAGGTTGTTTAAAAATGTTTTCATTATTACAAGGCTGAGGTGTTTTCTTACCCTCATAGAAGAGTTTCTCTAGGGTTGATGCCTTGGGAATTTTTTCGGTCATAAAATGTGTGCATTTTTCAATGTTAATAATAACTGCAAAGCTGTTCCCCAAATGGCTGTGCTAATTTATCCCCCACTAGCAGTGTTTCTGAAAGTTCCCATTTTCCTCATATTTTCACAAAGATTAGTATTTTCAGACTTTTAATTTTTTTCTAAAATATGGAGATTGACATGATATGAGAAGATTTCAACTTGTTTTCTGTGAGTGCTTCCATGAGTTGAGCGTCTTTTCATGTATTCATGACCACTTGGATTTCCTCTTCTGTGAATTACCCCTTTAAATCTCTTACCCTCTTTCTATTGGGTTGAGCGCCTTTTTCTTATTGAGTTGTAGAAGGTCTTTATATATTCTGAAGACTACCTTTTTGGTATTTCATATTGTAAACAACTTCTAATCTATCATTTTTTGTCATAAAGCATTTTGATTTTGATATAGACAAATCTATGAATTTTTAAACGGTTTGTTCTCTTATATCTTGAAAGCTTTTTATTACCTGATGTCATAAAGATTTTTTTTTAGTAGCTTAAAAGTTATATTTTTAATATATAGGCTTTAGCCAAACTGGAATTTATTTTTGTGCATGCTATGAGATAGGAACCTGATTTTATTCTTTTACATGGAAAGCCATTGTCCCAACACCAAGTATATCTATATATATGTAGTCTCTAAGCTCTCTGATCTATTAATTTGGTCTATTTTTTATTGCTCTATAAATATCACCCAGTTTTATTAGTATAGCTTTATAAGAATTGTTTATATCCTGTTGGTTAAGCCATATTCCCTAATCTCTTATTGTTCTTTAGAATTGCCTCGAATTTTCTTGATGGGATAGGTGAGATGAAACCTAGAAATCCTACAGTCAATTTTCTCCCAAAGGGAAGCCAGCCTAAAAGTAAAGCTGATACCATGGAAGGGAGAGCAGAGATAGGAAGATGCTCGGTCCTTAATGAGATTGTTGCTGAATCAAGCTACTCTGAAGCTGATCCTGCCTCTGCAACGTCTGTTTATCTAAACTAATAAATCTACTTTATTATTAACCAATTTGGTTGATTCTTCTGTACCCTGTAACCAAAGCTTTATAACGGATACCCCTGGTATATCTTTTTATGTCTATTTTCAAGCTCTGTCATTATGTTTAGTGCATTTCTTACAAACTGCATAATCTGGACATTGGAAGTGTACTCCGAGTGTCTATCTTTTAATAGGAAAAATTAATCCATTTACGATTTCTGTGATTACTGTGATGATTTGGATTTTTGTCTATCTTATTTTGCATTCTTCATGTATTGTTTCTTTGCCTTTCCCACTCCTTTTCTGTGGCTTTCTGTGAGACTGATTAGATTTTCTTCCCTCTTTTGCCCTCTACTGATTTGAAAATTATGCATGTGTTTCTGATCTTTCACTATTTTCCTAAAGCTTATAATATGCATACTTCACTGTGTATTTTTTGAACAAAGCCTGAAGTTAATCAACACTTTATCCTTCTCCTGAATAAAAACAGTAATTTTATACACTCAAAATTTCTTACTTACAACCTTTCACTGCTCACATTTTTTACTATTTCTATTATTTTAATTCCTCATGTTTTTAAATCTCCCAAATTGATGATGATGATGATGATGAGATGATGGTGATAATGATGATTCAATACTTATTTAGATCTTACTAATTTCTTTGTACACACTTACTGTTATGGGTTGAATTGTGTTTCTTCAAAATTCATATGTTGAAGCCCCAATAGCTCAGAATGTAACTGTATTGGGAGATAGGGTCTTTAAAATAAAGAGGTAATTAAGTTACAGTGAGGTGTTTAGAATGGGCCTTAATCCAATATGATGGATGTCCTTAAAAGAAGAAGAAATTTGGACACAGACACATGTCTGCAAAGAGAGGAAAGGCCGTGTGAGGACAGAGCAATAAGACCGGCGTCTGCGAGCCAGAGAGAGAGTCCTCAGAAACCAGAGCTGCTGACACCTTGACCCTGGGCATCCAGCCTCCAGAACTGGGAGAAAATAACTGTCTGCGGTTGAAGCCACCCACTCTGTGGTACTTGGTTATGGCAGCCCTAGCAAATTAATACACTTGTTTTTTTTTTTTTCCAGTCGTGCTTTTCTTCTGGGTTCACTTTCTATTTCCCCTCTGAATTGTTGACTAGTTCAAGTTCTTTCAGAGGGGATCTCTGGGCCTTAAACTATCTTAATATATCTAAACAAATATTTAGCTCACCTCTGTCTAGCTGATCCACCTGGCATATCTTGAACGCCAGTTTACTTGAATATAGAATTCAAGGAGCGAGTCTCAGTCCCTGGGTAATGTGGACTTAGCAGGTCCCATTCCACCAGCTCCTACCTCTCGGAGGAATGACTCTCTTCAGTCATTTCTTCAAAGGGACATGCTCAATAAACAAGAGCTCCTTCACAGGTACATTGAATATTTTTTTCTTTTTTCAGACGAAGTCTCACTCTCACCCAGGCTGGAGTGCAGTGGTACGATCTCGGCTCACTGCAACCTCCACCTCCTGGGTTCAAGTGATTCTCCTGCCTCAGCCTCCTGAGTAGCTGGGATTACAGGTGCCCACCACCATGCCAGGCTAATTTTTGTATTTTTAGTAGAGACAGGGTTTCACTATGTTAGCCATGGTGGTCTTGAACTTCTGACCTTGTGATCCACCTGCCTTGGCCTCCCAAAGTGCTGGGATTACAGGCGTGAGCCACCGCACCTGGCCCTATTGACCTCTTAAGTGTAGACATACTGGAGGAGAAGGAGAGGACCTGTTCTACACTATAATCCCCTTGGAAGACATTTTTTCTTAGCACATTGAAGATATAAGTCATTGTCTTAGGATATCTATGTTGATGAAGGAAGCTCTGCCGTTAATCTGATAGCCATTCTTTTGTAGGTGATCTATCTCTTCATTAAACTAGCTTTTACCATTTTTTTTCCTTGTAGATGTGAATTTATGTCTATTTATCCTGCTTTGGGCTTAGTATGCTTATTTAATGTGGGGCCATAGGTCTTTCCTAATCTCTGAAAAATATTTCTGCCATCATCTCTTTAAATATTGCCTCTTTCCCCATCTCTGTATTCTCACGCTCCTGTTAGGCATAAGTCTCTCTCCTCCACATCTCTGAACTCCTCTCTCAGATTTCATATCTCTTTATATATCTGTGATCTCCTTTGCTCTATCATCCTACTCATTAATTCCTCTTTCAGTTGTCTAGTGATGATTTAACTTGACCATTAGTTTTTAAAAACCAATTATTATATTATTCATTTCTGTAATTGTCTCCTACAATATTCTGTTTTTGCATTATCAGTCTATTCTTTCTTTCTTTCTGTGTTTTTTTTTTTTTGATAGAGTCTCGCTCTGTCTCCCGGGCTAGAGTGCAGTGGTGCAATCTTGGCTCACTGCAACCTCCACCTCCCAGGTTCAAGCAATTCTCCTGCCTCAGCCTCCCGAGTAGCTGGGATTACAGGCATCTGCAGCCACCACCGGCTAATTTTTGTATTTTTAGTAGAGACGGGGTTTCACCATGTTGGCCAGGCTGATCTTGAACTCCTGACCTCAAGTGATTCGCCTGCCTCAGCCTCCCTAAGTGCTGGGATTACAGGGATGAGACACCGCGCCCGGCCTCTTATCAGTCTATTCTTTCTTTGAGTTCTTCAAATACTTCAAATATAGCTATTTTAAAGTCCCTCACAGACTTCTATACAATTTTACATTTCTGACATGTTTTCTGGTTGAATCTGCTGTTTACTGCTCAGAGCTTTGGATTTCTTTGCGCGCTTTGTATTTATGTGGGTGAAGCTATCTCCTGAGGGGTCCTGCATATGCCTGGATTGCAGAGATGTTCCTCTGGAATGACATTGTGATTGCATCTGTTGCCTCTAAAGGGCAAACAGTTTCTAGACCAGTATTTATGTGAGTTTCTAGGCTCGGGACATCCACACCGTGCTGGTAGCAATGAGAATACCTGTCCATAATTTTGTGTCATACAACCTAGAGGTTCAGATATTTTATTGGTGACAGTTTCCCTCATGGTCCAAGGTAAGTGACCCACTTTTGTGCCTAATATTCAGGCCAGCAAGCAGTTTTTCTAATCCCAGTTCCTAAACAGGAGAGCCCTTTCCTGACTCCTGGTTTCATTTGGGGAACTCAGTCCTAGTATTCCTGCTGTCGGCAAGGCTGTGGCCTTGGTGTCACTTCCTGGGCAAGAACTAAAGCTGCAGCCTTTCTAAACACCGTATGACTCCATTTCTCTGGAATTCTGGAAAAAGCAGAAATAGAAGGGCAAATATAGACCAGTAGTTTCCAGGGGAGGGGGAAGAGTTGGCTACAAAGGGCAGAAGGACGTTCGTGGTGATGGAACTGCTCCATGCCTTGACGGGGGTAGTAGTTCTATGACTGTATTTATTTGCCGGAACTCACAGTATTATATCCTAAAAAGGGCGAATTTCACTGTATGTAAATTATATCCTAATCTGGTTTTTAAAAGATGCAGGGTGATAAACTATCTCTATAGCTCAATATGATTTCTGATAACTTGAAAACTAAACCCAGCCTCTAAGGCACACACAGGGTGTAGCTCAATCCTGATTACCACTGCAAGACTCCTCTTTATTTGAGCATCCACAGATGCTTTTTTAGCTTCTGAGCTTCGTTATAGGTTTTGAAATTTAATTTTCTGTACTTTACCTAGAATTTCTATGTGTTTGGAGCAGGAGACCGACCATGGCAGCTCAGACCACTACCTTGACTGAGAACCAGGCCATCGGCACTGCTGGACATAAAGTCTCTGACGGGCCTCAGGACTCTGAAAATGATCATGCATTTTCCAAACAAGCAGCACACACTATTCTGGGTGGCAGGAACTGCCTTGCTTTCCTAATCTAGATGGTGGTTCTTTTATCCTTTCTCCCTCTTCCAGGTGTTTCCTTTGGAAGCACCTCCCCAGCCCAGGTTTCCGCTTCTGATGTCCCTGAAGTGCAGTCTGCCCCAGTGGCTGGATCCTCCCTGTAGTTGCTGAGGACTGGATCACCCCACAGCATTGTGTCAATGCAGTGGGTGCTGCCTCCATCCTGAGCTAAGGGCCTAAGCCAACTCCTAGGACTTGGCGTCCGGGAAGGCGTCTGCTGGCATCTGCTTCCAGTGCATGCTGGTTGCCCAACAATTTGGGTAAATAATGCCATTGCGTTTGGCTGTACCACTGGAAATAGGCCAACTCCAAGAGGTTGCACTGCTTCTGTCTTGATTATTTGCATTGGCTGTTGAAGTGATCTGAAGCTACTAAAACACAAAATGGATTCATTTGAGTGAATAGCAAAGAAGTTACAAATCCTTCTGTATATCATTTTCTCAAAAACTTAAGAGCATGTTACAAAATGTAGAGCAATACAGTACTTCTGTAAAACATACCCACCCAGATATGTGTGTGTGTGTGTGTGTGTGTGTGTGTGTGAGAGAGAGAGAGAGAGAGAGAGAGAGAGAGACTGTCAGGGCGGGAAGAACTCTCTAGAGAAGGGCCCTCTGGTTTTACTGCTATGGAAACTGAGGCTTAGAAAAGGGAAGTGGCCTATTGAAGGTCACACAGCTGGTTAGTAGACAACAGAGACCAGGCGGTCCCCTGAGTCCTAGTTTAGGACTTGTCCCACTGAGCCTGCCTGCCTGTGAGTCATGTGACACCTGTCAGATCAGCTGTGCTGCTGGACTTGCTGATGGAACCCAGCAGATAGTGGCCCTCAGGTTCCCCGAACCCAAGCCTGGAGAAAGGGAGAGCCCCTGAATCAGATGTGAGAATGATGAAGGCATGGCGGGCACCAGCCAGCATCTGAGCAGCGGAAGCAGAGGCTCCTTCCCTTAGCTCCGTTAGTGTAGCCAGAAAACAGAACATGAGTCCTAAGGCCCTGAAGGTCTGAAGCCTTGAGGGGTGCCCTCGTCACTGCTGTCATTGTGAAGGCTGCTGTCATTGTGAAGGCTGCTGTCATGAAGAAGGTGGAGCCGACTGGAGGGAAGGTGGTCACTCTCCCTGCAAATGCATTCATCTCCTTCACTAGTTCCAGAGCTCTTCAGGTCGGGCTGTGGAACAAGGGGTACAGCACTGACCTTATTTAGAATTGCAGGCACATGGTGAGAAAGAAAAGCAGATTGACCTTCACACAGGTCTATCACTGTTTTCAGCTCTTTACAGACAATGCAGGCCATCTTTTTGGTATCTGTGGGGACGGTCCTCACTGCCACCATCCCCCTGCATACCACCATCCAGAAGTCCCTAAACAGAGCTCCTCCATGTGGTTGTCTGCTAACTGCAGGGCTGGGTTGCATGGTCACCCTTGCATGAAGGCGCAGCTGGGAAGGCGAGCATTTTCCACTTTTCAGGCTCCACCATGGAAGGTAACAAGGGAGGGGCCTGGCAAGCTGCCGTGCCTTTCAGCCACAGTCCCCCCAAAGTCGGCAAGGGGGCCTAGCTGTAGCCCCCTTGGGAGTTTTCTCAGCAATCCATGGAGACCATCAGACCCTAGCAGAGCCAGCTGTGTTGGCTGATACAGCTGTTGCCAAGGCCCACCTTGATAGAGCCCAGGGGCACAGGCACCAGGGAGGCAGATCGCACAGAAATGAGGGCATGTTCTGTGGGTGGGTGTAATTGGAAACTGAATGGTTCTGGAGAGGCCAGGGCCAGGGGCTCACTTACTCCACTGGATAATAATCCAGACTTAAACCTCAAAGTGTTTGCGGGAAGTCAGCATTAGCCTAAACAATCTCATCCAAAATATCAGTGACAAGTGAAAAATTTCATTAGAAAAGCCGGCTGGGCATGGTGGCTCACACTTGTAATCCCAGTACTTTGGGAGGCCGAGGCAGGTGGATCACCTGAAGTCAGGAGTTCCAGACCAGCCTGGCCAACATGGTAAAACCCCGTCTCTACTAAAAACACAAAAATTAGCTGGGTATGGTGGTGCATGCCTGTAAATTCCAGCTACGTGTGAAGCTGAGGCACAAGAATTGCTTGAACCCGGGAGGAGGAGGAGGTTGCAGTGAGCTGAGATTGCGCCACTGCACTCCAGCCTGGGAGACAGAATGAGACTCCATCTCAAAAAAAAAAAAAAAAAAAAAAAAAAAATTGGTTGCTGCAGCTGAAATATACTTTTCTATGTATCTCATCATCAGTTACCAAAATTTAATGGTTCCCACTAGTGATGCTGAATAGCCCTGTTGAACATTCTAATAAGCAAATTAGATAAGTTTGGCGATGTGTTTGCTTGGCAAGTTGAGCTCTGCAAATTGTCTCTTGGTGAATTGGTCTCTCAGCTTTCTGTAAACTGGCATTTGCTGGACTGACCTAGACTCACCCTTCTGGATGGAGACAGGGAGAGCTGGGGTTGCCTCAGGGATGAGAGGTCAGCATTGTGTCCAACGAGTCAAGGGTAACTGGGCCCAAATGTCCTTGCTGAGGCTCCGCCTGGCTTCTCTCCAGTGACTGTGAGTGGTGTTGGCGTGGCTGAAGTGAACTTACTGTTTAACTTGCAAAGGATCTTGGAGAAATGCACAACAGGAGACCCTTCGGTGATGCTTGTCCTTGATGCGTAGCAGCTCTGGAGGGTTCGGAAGCCCGAGAGTCTCTTCTTTCTCAGGAAGAAAAGGGCTGACTGCTTGAGAATCCTGGCGAAGACTATTTGTAAATGTGTTAAGGACCTGACTCCGGGCAAGACAGCTGGGGGTACCTTGAAAAGGTCAGAGTGCCGCCGAATGCATGAGGCAGCTGTGCCCATTTACCGAGACTGGTCCTGGGGGAAAGGCATGAAGCTGGGCCACCTTCTGATTTGCTAAGGGCAACCCTGGGAGCACCTGTGGGTGGGGTGGGATGGGGGAGAGGTCCTGGAGCAGGAGTCTGGGGCAAAATCCAACATTATGGAGCATGTCCAAAGGATGCAGCCCATCCAGTCCTTGCTAGAATGAAAGACTCTCTATCCTGTATTCAAAAAAATTTGTGCCATGTTTATTTCGCAAAGTCACAAAGTGTTAGGTGTGTATGGGAGTGAGGTAGCTGGGGTGTGGTTGTTGAGTAAAGGAGGATGTTTTGACAATTTTAGAGCGTTGCTAAACTGGCCCATTTCTAAAGACAAATACATATTTGTTGATTGACTTAATTGTTAATTACAGTTCTGCCCGCCGAACTGCACAGCTACTTGAGTACGACATAAGACATGCTTAATCACGGTTGACATTTTTTTTTTCTAAGCGTAGTGTTGTTAGAGTCTATAGGTTTTTAAAGTATTTTTTTTTCTGGGTAAAGAGGCTTCTTCAGGCTGGGGATGGTAAATAATTTTCACTGTAAATCATCTCAGAGCTTTGCACAGCACAGGCTTAAAGTACACTGCGATGGGCTTAAAGAGGATTTTATTAAATTGCGGTGTCTTAGGAATGGGAGCAGATTCAGGGCCCTTGAGAGAGAGACCCATGCTGCTGTATGGATATCTCGGACCACTTGAGTCCTGGCCAGGTCTGCAATCCTGACCCTTGAAGCAGCGGCTTCTATATTTGGCCTTCCTCCCCGTACCCATCTCTTTTCATAGCATTCCTTTGCTCCAGCACTAACCAGGAAGCACTCTCTATACCTCCAACCCTTCTAGAAAGAGAAACAACTCTCCAGAACATTACCAGCAACATGTCTACGGGAAATGAATCCAATTTTATTTTTAAAATGCCAGTTCTGCAGAGCAATGCACCACACTTGAAAAACAGCATTCTTAAATATACAAGTTGCTGAATGAGTAGTTTTGGAGTGTTCTCATTGCCCATGCAGTGGAATTTGTTGGGTTTTCCCAAAATAGAAAGGAACTGGATGGAAGATTAGTTGGTGTATTATGTATCCATTTCTGCATAACAAATCACCCAACCTTTAGAGGATCCAGAAGGCAGGGGCAGCTTGAGCTGGACAGTTCCTGCTTGGGGTCTCTCCAGAGGTTGTGATCAGATGTCAGGCAGGGCTGCAGTCCTCTACAGGCTTTTCTGATGCTGGAGGACAGTGTGGCTCACTGTCATGGCGGGGGACTGGGGACTGGCTGTTGGTGGGAGCCTCAGTTCCTCTCCAGCCTGCAGGGCTGCTTGAGTGTCTTCCCAGTACAGTGGCCAGCTTTCCCCATACTGGGTGAGCCATCCAAAGGCCAAGGAGGAAGCTGCAGTACCTTTTATGACCTAGCGTTGGACGCCATGCACTGTAGCTTCTGTCATTTCTGTTTGTCATCCAGAGCAGCTCTGATTCAACGTGAGAAGGGAGACCACATAGGGTTTGAATGCCAGGACATTAGAATCATTAGGGGCCATCGTGGAGGCTAGCTGCCACCTGAGAATCATGCGTTCTGCCTATAACACACCCAGTCGATACCAGCATTTGGTCCAGCTGGGCCACGAAACTGGTTACTTCCCGATGCTATAAGGGCCATATTTTGGATTCATACATCAGGACTCTGTACCACCGTAGACAAGACATTCTTTTGCTTCTGTGTGTTTAAACTATTTCTCTGTACAACAGTAAATCATTCTTACCCAGGTTGTGTCTAGGTTGGAGTGCTTTGGTGCCTGCAGGGGTTGCTTTGACAACTAGAATATTTGTTGGGGATCAGTTGAGCCTAGCATCTGTTTGAGCTTCTCATACTAAATACAGTCCAAAGTGGTTGTTATCTCTTTCGATTCTGAGTGTCCCATTGCATGTGGCATTTCTCAGGAAAAGGAACATCATCTTTGGCTAGTCAAGCTTCTTAATAGCAATGGTAGAAAGCAATTATGCTAATTTAAAACAAAAAGAAACTTCCCAATCTTGGATGTTTTACCATATCACTGGGAAAGATGCAGGACTGAGCTTATAAAATGGGCTGGAGCAGAAAGGCTAGCAGCACTCAGGTTTACACCAAACCACAGCTCAGAACCAGGCAGAGAGGATGCCGCTGTCACATCTGCTGGGAAACAGAGCCTCAGCTGGCATGGCTGCCACTCCACTGCCACCAGCACCTGTGACGCTGGGCACTCACACTGCTGCCCCTGCTGCCACCCCTCTGTACAATGTTACCATCACAGGTCCAGCCATCCCTGCAATGTTTTTCCTGGTGACCCTCCTGCCTCCCCTCAGCAGATCCTAGCACACATCTGGGGCAGGTAGGAATCTGACTGGCTGAGTCTAAGCCATGCTCTCGTGTCCTAGCTGCAGGAGACACTGGAAAAAGCACAAATCTGGCCTTCTTGGCATCCATCGTGGAGGAAGGGCTCTGCTTCCTACAAATACTCGTGAGGTAGTAAATTCACAAACACAAGAAGGGTTCCAGATGCTGGGCCATCAAACCAACAACAAGCACAAAACAGACAAATGTCTGCCACAATTAGTTGCTACCTAGAGAACAACATTTTGGCTTGTACCAAAATGTTTCGTTTCTTAAAAAATACCTGGAGAGTGTGTGAGAAGTTGAGCTGGGCTCTCTGATTTGTCAAAAGATCAAAAGAATGTCTAAAAAAAAAAAAGCCCGATAAAAAATAACAACATCAAAGCAAGAAGAAATATTTGCAACTCTATAATAAAATAAAAGGACAAATAGCCCAATTAAAAAACAGGCAAAGGATATAAGTGTTTATTCTTTTTCCAAAGGAAATATACAAAGTGCCATTGAGAACATGGATGATACTCAATGCCATTAACCATCAAGGACATATAAACCAAAACCACAATGGGATACCACTTCATGCCCAATAGGAAGGCTATAATAAAAATGACAGATAACAATAAGAGTTGGTGAGGATATACAGAACCCTCATAAACTATTGGTGGGAATGTAAAATGGGGGACACACTTTGGAAAACAGTCTGGCCATTCTTCAAAAGAGTAAACAGAGAGTAACCATATGACCTAGCAATTCTATTCCCTAGGGATATGACCAAGAGAAATGAAAATATTTGTCATTTTGTACAAAAACTTGTACATAAATGATTAGAGCCACATTATTCATAATAGCCAAAAGGTAGAAATAACCCAAATGCCTATATACTGATGAATGGATAAACAAAATATGGTACATCCATACAATGGAATATTATTTGGCCATCAAAAGGGATAACGTGTTAATACATGCCTCAACACGGATGAACCTTGAAGGAAGTGAAAGAAGCCAGTCACCAAAGGCCACGTATTGTATGATTCCATTTATACGGAATATCCAGAATAAGAAAATCTATAAAGAGACCCAGAGCTTAGTGGTTGCTCAGGGCTGAGGGGATTGGGGGCTGAGGGTGATAGCCAAAATGTATAGGGTTTATTTCTGAGATGATGAAAATGTTCTAAAATTGATGTTGGCAGTGGTTGCACAGACTGAATATACTGAACCATTGGATTGTATACTTTAAGAGGAAATACTTGCTCATTTTAGAAAAGTAGAAACAGAGAAAATTAAAACTACTCAGTGTTAACATTTTGGGGCATGTCCTTTCATTCCTTTTCTAGGCAAAGCTTTTTAATGTTTTTGAGGATGGTACATATTGAATTTTATGCAGCCTTTTTGTTGAAGGTGAATGTTTCCTGTGTTTTTATCACACTTGGCAAGCATTGTTTTCAATGATTGTGTAACATATCTTACCAAATAGATGCACTATAGGCTCCTGAAACGTTTCCACTGTTGGGCATTTAAATTATCTTCATTTTTTTGTTATCATAAATATGTTTTGGTGAACATCTTTGTTATGAGGTTTATTTGAGATTTTAAAGTTATTCCTTGGGATAGATTCAAATGGTGAGATTGTTGGGTTAAAGAGTTTGAATACTTTCAGGACTCTTGTTACTTAGTGTCAGCTTGCTTTGCAAAGGAGATACATTCTTGCAAAGGAGATGCACCTTCTTAGAAGATGTCATTTAAGAGAAAAAATATCCCACGTTCCCCTCCCCCCACAAAACCCCCCTATGGCCTAAACCACACTCTCTTTTCCTCCCATCCCCTGCTTTTTTCTTCTCCCTCCTCATTTCTCTTGGTAGTGGATTTGCGCTGTAATATATACAGTCAATACCGGTGGTTTATTTCATCCAGGCCCCTTAGGTGATTGCTGTCTGATAACATTAGAGACAACATATTGGATTTTTTCAAGGCATAAATGTACAAGGACAAATAGTACAGCAGAAGAGACAACAGCAACAAAATTTGGAAGCACGGGTGTCCTCACCACACCCAAGTCTTTTATATCTCTTTGTAAAGTTTTATGTTTTATTGATTGTTAACTAATTAAAATTAAAATGAACAATTGACGTTAATTTCTACATTTTGGTCTTATTTTCATTGTCCTGTGTGAAAGGAAACTTTCACACATATTCCTGAACTGATCACTAGATATGTGTGCATGAAAGTTATTGCTTTTTATGCTTCTTATGTATTCTATTACTTCATCAAGCTCTTTCATTAATTCCAAGAATTTTCCGATGAGTCTTAGGTTTTATGGGATGATGATTATACCATCTGCAAATTATAACTGTGTCTCCTCTTTCTTTTCTATAGCTACACTTTTTATTTCTGGTTTATATGCTTTGGTCCCACATTTTAGAAGAGTGTTAATTAACAGATATTCTTGCCTGTCCTTGACTTTAATAAGATTGTTTCTAGTAACGGCCATTAGGTGTTATGTTTGAAGTTGGTTTAGAAGAGATATTATCACATAAAGGGAGTATATTTTCCCTTTATTTCAGAAATCGATGTAAATGTTATCAAATGTCTTAACAGTCCTTACTGAGATGTGCATGGAGTTTTTTCTTTGACTTCCTGACACATTCTGCCGAATACATTAAATTAATTGTATCTTGTCAGTATCCATCTTCTGAATTGATGGAGCAGGCATAGTGGCAGAATCACGAGGAGACACGGGCCTTCTGGGCATCCATCCTCAACAGGCAGCATCCTGCAGGCTCTCTCTCCTGGGCTACTTCTGCCTCCTCTTGTAACCCCTACAGATCCCCACAGGATGGGGAGTTCATTCTAATCTCTTGCTACTCAACATGTGGCCCATAGACCAGCAGCTTCAGCACCACTAGAAGCTTATTAGAAATGCAGAATTTCAGACCCGGCCATGGGCCTGCTGAGCCAGAATCTGACATTGAACGAGACCCTCCCCACCACCGAGATTCGTGTGCATGTTAAAGACTTAGGAACATTGTTCTAACATAGTGGAGCAATGGCTTCTCCCCATTTTTCTTCTGCCAACGGGACAGCCCTCTAGTCCTACCCAAAAGCGGTTGAGAGAAGCTCTAGGTGGTTTTCCTGTAAGTGTGTGTATGTATGTAAGAGAGAGAGGAAGAGAGATAGAGATGGACAGACAGACAGACATAGACAGGCAGAGGTAGACAGAGACAGAGAGAGAGCAGATTTGGGATGAGCACACATTGTGTGACCCTTTTCGGGGTCCTTGGGCGATTATGACAAGTGATGAGTACCCATGTGTGAAGCAAGCTCTGTGTCTATGACTTGGGAAAGAGAGTGCCCCCTGAGTTAGCACGAGGAGGAGAGCAGAGAGAGAGGAAGACAAAGAGAGAGCAAGAGTTCTTCCTAGAAACGGTCACCTGGTGATTTGCTTTCACCAGCTGCAGATGGTGATTCCTGAAGTGCCTGGATCATCAGGAAGGGGACGCTGGCTGGTTAACTATCTCCAGACCTGATGCTACCAGCTGCTGGAGACAGGATTTCCTCTCATTTTCTTGGAACACTGATCTGGTTAAGAAACTTAGGCTCATCAAAATCCTGTGTGCTTCTTCTTTGGAAAGTGTCCCAGCCTCTCTGTAGTTGCTTGCTCATTTGTAAAACAGAAACAGACATCTCTGTCTTGAACCCAAGCTTCAAGCGTGGCTTGGGGGACTGTGGACACATTAGAAAGTACAAGAGGAAGTTCGCTGTGAGCTCCATAAGAGCGAATTGGTACTGAATCAAAGGTGTCCTTAACATGAATTGCAGCCGCAGGAAGGTGTCATCTGATGTGGAATTGATTTCCATGCTTCTTCAGGGAGCTCGCAGGGAAAATGGAACCAGCAGAGCAGAGAGCACAGCTGTCTTTCCGACAGACACTCCAGATTCCTATGCGGAAGAGCTATGATGCGGAACGTCTTTTTAACTCTGGAATACAGATTGGGTTGACTTCAAAGAAGCTTGAATATCAAAAGCATTTCGATATTAAGTTTTGCAAGTGAGACCAGAAGCCATCGTTTAAGACAGTGCTAGAGAGAGTGACATGATGGTACCAGGAGGGGAAAGATCAAAGAGTGTGATCAATCAGCTGCTTTACAGACAGGAGAGGAATGAAGGCATTGGAGCAATATTTCTGCTGAAGAGCCACACTCTCTTAGACCTGAAAAAGAATCTTGGAAGAAGTAGCCGAGGGAGGGAAGAATGTTGTCGAGCCTCTGGCAGCGGCAGGCACTGTGCTGAGTGCTCCGTAGCCAGTGCTCATGAATTAGTTAAGCAAGAGTCGGGATTCAAGTTCAGCTCTACCAGGCTCTGGAGGTCCCACTCGAAATATACCACACTGCTTTATAATCTCCCATAAAGCGGTGCTTGCCATCTTTAATGTGCCTACCAGTCGCTGAGAACTCTTTTAAACGCAGAGTCTGATTTGGAACATTGGTCAGGGGAGGTGGCTGAGATTCTGTACATCTAATGCGTTCCACGGCCATGCCGACACTGCTGGTCCATGGACCACAGTTACAAAGACAAGGCCTCACGGAGAGTCTCTTCCAGGGATTCACAATCTTGAGCATGCACTAGCTTTACCTCGGGATGCCTAGGCCCAGATACTTTATAAAATTTCTCTAGTGGATTTCAATGTTCTTTCAGATCACTGATTTGGGCCACTGATTCTCAAAGTGTGTGGATGGAGATGGAGTGTTGGTAGGGGGTAGGGCATGACTTGCAACAGAATCACCTTTGGAGTTTCCTCAAACTGTGGGGTATGTTTATCTCTTCATGGATACATATAGTTTCCAAACTGTACATGTGCCCCTGTTTTGAAATTCAAGTGTGTTTTCTGAACTCACACCCTTCTGCCTACTTTCTCTTGACATTTGAGGGACACTAAAATCGTAAATAAAAGCCAGCTAGCCCTGGAAGAATCAGACATAATTCGAGAAACTAGTAAGAACATTTTAAAAAATTGTAAATAGTGTCCTCAGAGAGACCAAGAGGCAATTGTACCCATAATGCAAGGGTAGTCTACTATGGCCGGGCACGGTGGCTCACGCCTGTAATCCCAGCACTTTGGAATGCCGGGGTGGGTGGATCACAAGGTCAGGAGTTCAAGACCATCCTGGCCAACATGCTGAAACCCCGTCTCTACAAAAAATACAAAAATTAGCTGGGCGTGGTGGTGTGCACCTGTAGTCCCAGCTACTCGGGAGGCTGAGGCAGGAGAATCGCTTGAATCTGGGAGGCGGAGGTTGCAGTGAGTCGAGATTACACCACTGCACTACAGCCTAGAGACAGAGCGAGACTCCATCTAAAAAAAAAAAAGTAGTCTGCTACATGAAAAGTTGTCTAAGAACAAGAAACAAAGATCTAGAAATTCAAAGCATGACTGGTGAAATCAAAAATTCAATGGGATAAGCTAAATAATGTAACAGACAAGACTGAGAACCAAATTGGTCATTTGGAAAGGAAATTTCCAAAATATGGAGCAAAAGTACAAAGACAGAAAATATCAGAGAAAAGTCAAGAGAAATAAAAAATAGATCAGAAGGCTCAATATCTGTTTAATAAAAGTTTTAATAGAAAATGGACATAAAACAAATAGAAGAAACATTTCCTGAACTGAAGAAGGCAGGAGTCTTCAGATAGAAACAGTCCACAGATGTCAAGGATTTATGAACTAAAGGCACACTGATGGAACAACAGAACTCTAAGGATAAAGATAAAAAGCATGTAAGTTTGCAGAGCAGGGGAAAATATGTATTTTGAAAAATAACAAGATTCAGGCTGACATGAGATTTCTTTTCATCTGCTAACCTGGATGCTAGACATCCATAGTGTAATGTCCTGAAAATTCTAAAGAAAAATGATCTTTAATATAGGAGGTAGAATTTTATACCCTTTCAAATTGGAAATAAGAGGGCAGTGCTCAGAAAGTCATCTTCAGGTGTGTAGGAAATTACAATGTTATTCTATCCCTCTATCCATTTTCCGTGGCTGCTGTAACAAATTACCACAAACCTGGTGGCTTAAAACACCAGAAATGTATTCTCTCATCATCCTGGAGGACAGAAGTCTGAAGTTAGTATCCTTGGGCCAAAATCCAGGCATAGGCAGTGCCAGGCTCCCTCTGGAGGTTCTAGGAGAGAACCCTCCCTTCCCTGTTCCAACTCTCCTGGGAGCAAGCATTCTTTGGCTTATGGCTGCGCCACTCTGATCTTTAAGGCTGGCATCTTCAAATCTCTCCCTGATCCATTTTCAAATCACCTTCTCGTCTGTGTCTGTGTGAGAAACCACCATCTACCTCTTTCTTGTAAAGATATTTGTGATTGTATTTAGGGCCCACTTGATCAATGCAGGATCATCTCCCCATCTCAAAATCCGTGATTGTATTTAGGGCCCACTTGATCAATGCAGGATCATCTCCCCATCTCAAAATCCTTAGTCACATCTGCAAAAACCCCTTTTTGCCACATAAACTAATACAGGCTCCAGGGATTAGGATGTGAATATATTTTGGGAGCCTACCACAGTTACCAGTCATGCCTCTTAAATGAAAACAGATTTTGAGAAAGTACTCTAGCAAAACTAAAAAAGAATTTTAAAGGAGGATGACATGAGAGACAACAACAAGAACAAAAAAACAAAACAAACAAACAAAAAACAAAAAAAACAAGCCAGGCCTAGTGGCTTATACCTGTAATCCCCGCACTTTGGGAGGCCGAGGTGGGTGGATCACCTGAGGTCAGAAGCTCAAGACCAGCCTGACCAACACGGTGAAACCCCATCTCTACTAAAAATACAAAATTAGCTGGGCATGGTGGCAGGCACCTGTAATCCCAGCTACTCGGGGAGGCTGAGGCAGGAGAATTGCTTGAACCTGGGAGGCAGAGGTTGCAGTGAGCAAAGATCATGCCATTGCACTCCAGCCTGGACGACAGAGCAAGACTCCGTCTCAGAAAAACAAAAACAAAAACTGTGCAGCTGGAATTGACCCAGAAGCAGTGAAAAAAGTGGAAAGAAAAATAAGAATTTCCATGTATTAGTCAAGGTTCTCCTGAGAAACACAACCAATAGAATAGATAGATAGACAGACACAAAAGGAGATTTATTATGAAAATTGGCTCGTGTGATTATAGAGGCTGAAGAGTCTCATGAAATACCATCTCTAATATGGAGTACCAGGAAAGCTAGTGGTGTGACTCAGTTGTAGTCTTAAGGCCTGAGAACCAGGCGATCCGATGGTATAGACTCCCAGTCTGAGGCCATGAGGTCAAATGCCTGGTGGTGCCGCTGGTGCAAATCCTGGATTCCCAGGGCCTGAGATCCAGGAGCTGTAATATCTGAGGGCAGGAGAAGATGGACGGCCCAGCTGAAGAAGAGGGAGTCAATTACCCTTCCTCTGCCTTTGTGCTCTATTTGTGTCCTCAATGGATTAAATGATGCCCACCCCCATTGCTCAGGGCCATCTTTACTTAGTCTACCAATTCAAATGCCAATCTCTTCTCGGGAAGGACCCTCCCAGACACACTCAGAAATAATGTTTTACCAGCTATCTGGGTAACCCATATCCCAGTCAAGTGGACACATAAAATGAACCATTACACTCCACTAGACTCTTCACTCCATAGAAGAGCCTCCTGAGAATGTCACAGGGATCATGACAGTGAATTACATTTTCTTTTTCTCTCTAGGTCTGATCGTATTATTTGGTTCTTCAGTAAAAAAGGTTCATATGTTCACAATGCTGTTCATTGGTTTTCAAACTTTAACACTTAAATAGCCACAGAATAAGCATGCAAATGTTACAAACCTTGAAATTATGAAACATTATTAGACCATCAGGAGTTAGTGCAAGAGAGGTAGGAAAAAGAGGGCTTCACTGCTACCCTCACCTTTCACAGTGGGGAGTTAAGGAATGCTGTATAAAGTGAATAAATCAAGGCAGATTTTTAGGTAGATTATTGAAAGTAATAGGAGTAATCACTAAAACAATTAAAAAGAGCGATATAAATAATAAAATTGGGCTGTGACATGGAGAGGCAAGAGGTGTTGTGAGGGTGCTGAATTCCTAATCCTCCATAAAGGGGAGTCAAACGTTACTATCTAAAGATAAGCCAAGGCCAGGCATGGTGGTTCATGCCTGTAATCCCAGCACTTTGGGAGGCCGAGGCAGGAGATTGCCTAAGGTCAGGAGTTCAACACCAGCCTGACCAACAAGGTGAAACCCTGTCTCTACTAAAAATACAAAAAGTAGCCAGGCGTGGTGGTGCATGCCTGTAATCCCAGCTATTCAGGAGGCTGAGACAGGAGAATCACTTGAACCCGGGAAGCGGAGGCTGCAGTGAGGTGAAATCACACCATTGCACTCCAGCCTGGGTGACAAGAGTGAAAGTCTGTCTCAAAAAATAAAATAAAAATAAAAGATAAGCCAAGAAAATAAAAGCTTTTTTTTTTTAATTATAATAGGAATTACCACAAGAAATAAAAACAGAAACTTTCAACAGAGGTTTCTTCTGCGGAGTGGTACTGGGTTTGGAAGAGAATGAGAGGAGATGTTTACTTTTTCCTCAGATCCACCTGTGCTCTTGGAATATTTTTAACTGGGTTCATGGATTACATTTATAGTTAAAAAGTAAGTAAAATAATACAAATAAACATAGCATTGTAAAACATGAAGCAAGCCGCCTATGAGATTCCCAAGTCTCCTGCCATAGGATCTGTTCCAGAACCCTCTCTGGAGGGCACAGACAATGATGTCTAGAGGCAACAGATGAGAATAGTGAGGGGATGTGGATTTCTGTCCTCTATGGAGCTGGGGGTGCAGGGAGGCGGGGCAGCCTCCAGAAGAGCTGTGGGGAACGAGAGTCTTTATCACACAGTGGAAGGCTGCTGGGAGGCCAGAGGACACAGATAAGGTTTTTGGAACTTGGTGGGAGTTAGAATTAGGACCAGGTGGTGGGACCTTTAAAAAGACTTTAGTGTTTTGTAAAGAGCACAGTGACAGAGTGGGTGGCCTTGGGATGTAGTGAGTTTCCCATCACTGGAAGTATTCTAGACCAGTATTTAAGGAGGGTGCACAGAGAAGCAGCACAAAAAGAGAACATGAAACTTGGAATCGAATGGCTATGGAATCGGATCCTTGACAATGCTTTGTAGGGGCAGTGTGACATTGAACAACGCAAATGCAGTAAGGTCTCTGAGTTCCAGTGTCCTCATCTGAAAGCAGGATGGATAACTGCTAGCTTATAATGTTACTCCAGAGGCTTAAGTGAACTATTCCATGAAAAAGCCAGCCAGTAAAGTACTTGGCACTTAGGAAGTGTTGCATAGAGGGTGGATGTCATTATGGAAGCTCGGCTGGTATGTGCGAGGCGATAGGCCAGATCACATGTAAGGTCTCTCCATCCTGACTTTTCTATGTCTTTGGAAGCAGAGGTCGGGCCTGGGCACTGAGCTCTGAGGCCTTGTGTAAAAGCTCGGGACTCTGAATGCTGAGCCCTTCCTCCATTTCTGCTATGGGGACCACAAGGCTAGAACTAGGGTGGCCTCTTTCCCTTTTTGCCAACTGGAGCCTGAGGAGGTAGGAGATTTAGGAAGTTCCGGATCACACCGTGAGTCAGGAGAAGGGGCCCATCTGCTGGGAAGACACTAACAGGATCTGGGGCACCTCTTCAAGGAAGGTAGGAGGCTTGGAAAATAACTGTGACTTGCAACCTTTGAAGCCCTTGCGCAAAAGCTGCCCCGCAGGTGGGAGGCCAGTGCACGACCTTGTCTTCCCATACCTCCACCCCTGGACGGGCAGGCTTCCATCACAGGCTGTGCTGTTCCTGCCTTCCACCCCAGCAGACAGCGTGGAGGGAACTCAGGGTGAGACGGCTCATTCTCAGCTGCAGGCATCATGGCACAGACCTGATGGATTCTCCAGACCAGACATCGGGCAGGCGCCAGGCTCTTCCAGGGCCATGACCGTGAGCCATTTATAAAGTCAGCTTCCGCATAAGCACGCCCCTGTTCCTGCAAGGACATGACCTGCCTCAGAGCCAGAAACCTGCACCCCACACCCTTAGCCCCATAGAAAACATCACATCAGGAAAGAAGATGAAATTTGTTTTCCTCCTAAAACATTTGACTGGGAGTATCCATGCTCCAAAAGAGCTGTTTGTTTCAAACAGGGAAGTGATGGAGTCCTTGTCAAGGCACGACCCTTAGTGCCAGGACACGAGATGTTCAGCCAGGGCCCACCCCATCCTCAGAAACCCTGGGTCTGGTTGTGTCCTGTGTGGGTAGGCCCTGGGCACATCCCCACAAGAGGCTGAAGGAGACCCAGGGAGCATGACTGTCCTCTTCCGGCCCTGGGAATGGAAAGCACCCCCTTACCTGCCGCCCCTCTCTGGGAGCCAGAGGTGGTTCAGCAGACATTGAGTGATACTGACCGCTTCAGGGAAGAGTGGAAGGTAGACGTCAAGAAGTGAAGAAGCTGAGGGGCTTCCTGGTGGCCTTTTTTTTGCGATTTTTCTTGAAATGCTCTACATTTACAGAAGGTCAGACACACTCGACATTCACATGTTCACCGCGCATGACTGAGCTAAATGGAATTTGGGGACTAACACTCGAGGGCTTTTACCACCTCATGGCTCCTTCTCACAAGGGCGGCATGAAGCGCCGCCCACATGGCTTCTAATATCCCCAGCCTGCTCCTTCTCCAGGTCAAGCCCGATGGGACAGCCATGCCCAGGTGGTGGCGGTGGCGTGTGTGCACATCTTATGACCCTCACCAGATTGGGGGAAGGTCCAGGAGGATGAAGATCTTGTCTCGTCACTGGATGCCCTTCCCAATCCCCACACGAACTAAGCCAACAGCTGGCATTGCTTCACTAAGTTAGGGTTAAGAATTAACAAATGCGCGGACATCTTTTCAAAGCCCTGCAGAGCCAGGGGCTAGGGAAGTCCAGAGGCTTTCGGGTGGCAGGCACAGAGGCAGTCCTCCCCATGCTGACACTTCTGTGTTCTTTCTCTTTTCTTTCCTCTTGTCATTTTTCTAAAAATTAATAAGAACTGGTATAATGTATACAAACCACATTGCTAAGGGCTTTCTGCTTCTCATCTCTTTTAATCCTTGCAGAGCCCTCTCAGGTAAATTCATCTATAAAATTATAGATGAGGAGGCTGGGCATGGTGGCTCACGCCTGTAATCCCAGCACTTTGGAAGGCCGAGGCGGGTGGATGTCCTGGGTCAGGAGTTCAAGACCTGCCTGCCCACCGTGGTGAAACCCCATCATCTCTACTAAAAATACAAAGAGTAGCCGGGTGTGGTGGTGGGTGCCTGTAATCCCAGCTACTCTGGAGGCTGAGGCAGGAGAATTGCTTGAACCCGGGAGGCAGAGGTTGCAACGAGCCGAGATTGTGCCATTGCACTCCAGCCTGGATGACAAGAGCGAGACTCCGTCTCAAAAAAAAAAAATGTGTATATATAGATGAGGAAACTGAGGCTTAGTGTTAAATAATTTGACTGAGGCTGTTCCAGCTAGCACCTGGAGGCACTGGGATTCGAACCACCTCTGTCCGACCCAATAGTTCTCCCTTCCTTCTTGCCCTTGCCTTTGCTGGTCATTCTCTCATCTCCTCTGCCCATTTGGCCTTGCTCACTGCTGCTCAGAGGCTCAGGACTGACCTGAAGGCTGGTCCTGAGTCACTCGTGGGCATTTCTCTTCATGGGGCAAGAGGATCATTTTCTAAAGCTGTCCTCTGGTCTCGTTCTCTCCCAGGGGTCATGATACTCACTGGCTTTTGCCCTCAGCTGAATTATCCGGGGACTGTGGACGCTGGCAGTGAATTGTGTCTGGCGGAAAGCACTCAGGCTCTTGAATCTAACAGGCCAGGTGCAAATCTCAATTCTTTCATTTCTTAGCTTTGGCAAGTCAACTGCCCTCTCTGGACTCCAGTTTCTCATCAGAAATGAGTTACTGTAAAGGTTCGATGCAATAACTTGCTAAAGCACTCAGCGCGAGACCTGGCAGGTGGGAGAGGCTCGCTCATGAGAGCTAGAAAACAGCCTGCCTGGGTTTCTGAGGAACTCCTGGGAGCCTGCATCCCTTGACCAGTCAGTTGAGTTATTAATCATTTTCTAGGCTTTTCATTAGTTTGCTGAGTTTCGCCTGTGTTATATGCCTCTTGAAGCTAAAATATTAACAGAGTTTAAGGGTAGACTAAAGCATAGGATAAGTTAGAATTTGTTGTTATTTATTTATTTATTTTTTGAGATGGAGCTCTGCTCTGTCGCCCAAGCTGGAGTGCAATGGCACGATCTCGGCTCACTGCAACCTCTGCCTCCCGGGTTCAAGCGATTCTCCTGCCTCAGCCTCCTAGTAGCTGGGACTACAGGCACCTGCCACCACACCTGGCTAATTTTGCAGTTTTAGTAGAGACAGGGCTTCACCATATTGGCCTGGCTGGTCTCGAACTCCTGACCTCAGGTGATCCATCTGCCTCGACCTCCCAAAGTGCTGGGATTACAGGTGTGAGCCATTGTGCCCAGCCTTTTTCGTTTCTTAAAAAAAAAAAGTTTCTCATTTTTGATACTTTTCAAAATACAGATTAAATAAACTTAGTTTTCACATTTTCTAAAAAACATACATTTTCTAAAACACACAAACACACACACACACACACCATTCATAGCTTCTAAACGACTGCAGGCATGCAAAAAACGTCCCGTGCTCTGGACCCAACTCCAGAGCGGTGGTGAATGGCACAGGCTCTGGAGTCAAACAGCGAGTTTAAATATTGGCTCTATGCTTAATGACCATGTGATGCTGGCAATGATACTGAACAGCCCTGAGCCTCAGTTTCCTCATCTGTAAGGTGTGTCTAGCAACAGAACAGTTCATGGAGTCACTGAGAAGGTCTGACAGGAAGCAGAGCCCTGACCATGGAGCCCGGCACCCAGCGAGTGGCAGCCAGCGTCCTGGGGCTGTGTGTGGGACTGTGTGGAGGGACCTGGAGAGATCTTTAAAATCTTCTTCTGTCATCATTTAAGGTGATCCTGCTCCCCTGCACCGCCCCCCTCTCACCGTCTAGATGTGGTTTTCAAAATGCCTCAGTAAAGGCATTTGGAAAAATAATAATTACTAAAGGGCATACATATTTAAAGAATTAACTTTCCTATTGTCATTCAAGCCACTGGCCCCTCAAAAGTGGGGCGGGGTGCTGAGGGTTGAGCTGCAACAGCTGTGAACCCTTATGGGATAAAGCTTATGCCTTCCATCAACTGCAAAGACAGGGTTTACAGCGTTCCTCTGAGTAAACAGGAGAGTGATTTAACTTCAGGGCAGTTAGCTTGGCATCTGCTTTTTGGGATGCCTCTATTTTTTTGTTTGTTTGTTTGTTTGTTTTGAAACGGAGTCTCACTCTGTTGCCCAGGCTGGAGTGCAGTGGCGCGATCTTGGCTCACTGCAAGCTCCGCCTCCCGGGTTCACGCCATTCTCCTGCCTCAGCCTCCCGAGTAGCTGGGATTACAGGAGCCTGCCACTACACTCAGCTAATTTTTTGTATTTTTAGTAGAGACAGTTTTGTATTTTTAGTAGAGACAGGGTTGGCCAAGCTGGTCTTGAACTCCTGACCTCGTGATTTGCCCATGTTGGCCTCCCAAAGTGCTGGGATTACAGGGGTGAGCCACCACACCTGACCAGGATGTCTCTATTTTATGAAGGATCCGCCCTACTGTAAAAGAGGGCAAAGAAAAGCAAATGCTAAACACAGGTCAAGTGCCCTCCCAGAATGAACTGCTGGGTTTCCACACTTGGCCCACCCTATTCTCCTTACACCCTGGTGGTCTCCCCATGCACGTGCTAAAACGACACATTCAGGCTCACAGTAATGAGAAGTGAGGGTGGACTCACTGAGCGGGTTCTGTGTACGCAGCCCAGGGCGTACACAGGGATGAGCTAACCTGCCACTGACCCATTTGGACTTGAGTTGGCTTGAGGCCATGAGAAGAGGGAGACTCGCCAAGACCTGGATTCTGGCTCTGCTATCTGTCGGCCATGGGAGCCCTGGCGAGTCCCAGTATTCCTTTAACTCACTGCTTTGCGAAAAGATAGATTCTGAGCACAGCTATGGCCCAGGCACTGTGATAAGCCATGGGGCCAGAGAAATGAAAAAAAATCCCACCACGGGCCACACACAGCTGTAGGCCCATCTTCATCCCTGTCCGGCCGTGGTGGTGACGGCAGTTCAACCATGCACAGGAGCAGCTAGATTCCTTCTCCTTGGGAGGGACTCAAAAGTGGTTCCAAACAGGAGGTGGGGAGGCTTGCTGAGATGGGGCCCAGGTGTCCTGACTCCCAGTGAGCAGCGTTTCCCAGCACCCCACCGCTCTCCCTCTCTCTGTTTCCCCAGGTTGGGGCTGGCAGCCCTCCACTACTTTCTGTTCCTTCGTCAACGTTGACTCTTGCCTTGGACAGACCGAGCTGCTGACTGGCCCCTTCTCTCCACTCTCTGGCTAGAAGATGACTGAAGCCCCTCCGGGGATCTGCAAAACCTGCCAGACAGAGGGCCTGGAGTTAAGGTCAGCACACCCGAGGAAGGCTTGTGGTCTTGGTCAACCAGATGCAGGCTTAATCGGCTGTGAGAGGAGCCAGCTGGAGCACCTGGGGCCCAGGAGAGGAATGGTGGCTGTGGTAAAGGGAGCAGCTTGCTGTCTTCCATCCACACCTGGCCTATCAGGAGGGTCAGGTGAGGCTCTCCGCATCACCCGGTAGTAGGGACAATAACATGCCGGGTTGTTTCCAGGTGATGACAGGCAGAAGACTGGGACATCTGAGGAAAGCTGAGGATCCTTGGGGGTTGGAGTGAGGGAGAAGTGGCAGAAGAGGCCTGGAAGGACATCCTGGGAAGAGCAAGCTGCTCTGTGCTCCGAAGCCCTGTTCATCTGAGCTGGGACGGGCAGGCGGAGGTACAAAATGCAGAACACAAGGCGTGATGAAGTACCTTACTTTCCCCAGGGTTGCCGACGACATCTATGCTCCTTTGGGAGGTGGCGAGCGATCTGTTCCGAGAGGTGCTCGAGCAGAAGACAGAGCCTTTTGTCAAGGACGTGGCAGAAGAGATTTGAACATAGATTCAAACATTCTTAGGTAGTGATTGGACCAAGCGCCCTCGACTGCCTCTTTTTAGCTTAAGATTCTCTGATTTTATGTTAAAACAGACTTCATGAAAATGGGGAGGACTCTTGAAAGTGAGACCCTCTAATTCCCTCCCTGTGTCTGGGGGCGTGACTGTGTTTAAGACTTCCTCTTCCCACCAAACAGCTCTTTTCCTCTCCCCTTACTCCCTCCTTCAGTCCCCCCTGTCAAGGCCGGATGAGCCTAGAAGCCAGTGCGGCCCAGGACTCACTTTTGCCCGTTCCAAAGCCCTTGTCAGCTGGAGCAAGGCAATGGTGCAGCCTCTGGGCAAGCGTCTCAAACTTGGGGGCACAAACTCCGTGTTCAGCCTATTTCACTGCAGCAAACAATGGTTCTTCCGGCACCACACACCTTTGAAACTCCCCTTGTTTTGAGATATTCCCATATTCAATTTCCTTTATCTCAAAAACTGAAAACAGCAAAGTTTATTCATTGCCCATCCCAACATTTTTAATTTCAATACAATTTTTTTCTAAGAGATGGGGGTCTCACTATGTTGCCTAGGCTGGCCTCGAACCCCTGGGCTCAAGTGATCCTCCTACCTCAGCCTCCAGAGTATCTGGGACTACAGGCACATGCTACTGCACCTGGCTTTTAAATTTTCTACCTAGTTTTTTTCCTTATTAATTTCAGTTGGAACATTCAGCACCAGTCCCTGTTCTGCCTTACAATGCCCTGCAAATTAGCACACATCTCTTTTATTGATTCAGTAATTGGCATTTCCCAATAAAGTGGAGGCTTGTATGGAAAGATGGAGTCAAGATTCTTTTCTTTTGGAGACGGAGTCTCACTCTGTTGCCCAGGCTGGAGTGCAATGGCACGACCTCAGCTCACTGGAACCTCCGCCTCCTGGGTTCAAGCAATTCTCCTGCCTCAGCCTCCCGAGTAGCTGGGATTACAGGCGTGTGCCACCACGCCCAGCTAGTTTTTTTGTATTTTTAGTAGAGATGGGGTTTCACCATGTTAGCCAGGATGGTCTCGATCTCCTGACCTCGTGATCCACCCGCTTCGGCCTCCCAAAGTGACAGGATTACAGGCGTGAGCCACCTCGCCCGGCCGATGGAGTCAAGATTCTTAAGCCCCAAGAAAGCAATAAAAATAGGTGGTGGGTAGGGCAACAAAGGAGACCCAGTCCCAGGATTCTGTAAAATGAATCAGTTCCATCCGAGCTTCGGAAGTCAGTTATTTGTTGTTGTTGTTGTTTGTTTTTTGTTTTTGTTTTGTTTTTGTTTTTTTTTGAGACGGAGTCTCACTCTGTCGCCCAGGCTGGAGTGCGGTGGCGCGATCTCGGCTCACTGCAACCTCCGCCTCCCGGGTTCATGCCATTTTCCTGCCTCAGCTTCCCGAGTAGCTGGGACTACAGGTGCCCATCCCGACGCCTGGCTAATTTTTTGTATTTTTAGTAGAGACGGGGTTTCACTGTGTTAGCCACGATGGTCTCGATCTCCTGACCTCGTGATCCGCCCGCCTCGGCCTCCCAAAGTGCTGGGATTACAGGCATGAGCCCCCTTGCCCGGTCCTGAAGTAGGTTTAACGCAGTATCTGAGAGGGAGATGGGCACAGTTGGGGGAAGCATCTGCAACCCAGACCTTTTTTATTAGCAACAAACTGCCACCAGGGGCCCCAAGAATGTCATTGTTAAAATAACGAGGTCTGTAGAAAAAGGCCTGGGAGTGGCTGGTGGAAGTCAGAGCTGATAACTAATGGGGCGAGGCCTCAGAGAGAGGGAGTATGCACCAGCCCTGAGCAGAGCCCCAGAACCATTCCTGGGGCAGGGGGCGGATATAATCAGGAGAGTTGGGGCTTTGTATTTGACTCTAGAACCAGGGCTGAAAACCGTGGGCTTTGGCTACTTTGACCCATGGTGCTTCCCCAGCCATGCTGACCACTCTGCTACCACCTTATTTTAGGACGTTACCCTTTCTCCTCTAGACTGACAACACCCTCTGTGATGGTTAATACGACTCCAAGTTCTTCAGCTTTGGGACGCGGACTGGCTGTCTTTGCTCCTCAGCTTGCAGATGGCCTATGGTGGGACCCTGTGATCGTGTGAGTTAATACTTAATAAACTCTCCTTTATATATCTATCTATCCTATTAGTTCTGTCCCTCAAAAGAACCCTGACTAATACACCCTTCTAACTGGGCTCCTTGCCTCAGACTTCTTTGCAACCCTCCAACTCCCCAGTCACTATCCACACTGATCTGGTCTGAGCATTCCCAGACATCTATTCTTCCAATGTGTCCCATCTTCTTCCAGAAAACTCAGGAAATGTTCTTTCAATGAATGAATGAACAAATGAACAAACAAACAAAGAAGGTGGCAAGACCATCAAAGCACATAAAAGTGAGGGACTTGGGCCTCAGGCTTTAGGGAGCCACGAGGTCCTGTAAAGCCCTTAAGGACAAGGTCATAGCTCTTCGAAGCGTGGGCTGGAGGAAGAGGAGGCAGGACAGTGCTCCTGGGTGCCTGTCCCTTCCCATGGGATGAGAGGCAGAGTGCAGCCTCCGGCCTCTGGCACATCTGGTGTGAGATTCACAAGCTTCTTCCCTTGTGCAGCTCTCTGGGCTGTTCTGAGAATCATTTGGGACATTGTGTGTGATAGTGTCGTGAAAATCCAAGTCAAACAATCTTTGAGAGAGAGGAGAGAGAGAGAAAGAAAGAGAGAGAGAGGCTGAAGAGACTCCACCTGACACTCCACTTACACACACACTCACCTGGAGGCTGCACACTCCCACCAACCCCTGTGTGGCTTCTGTACGAGCAGGAAGCGTTTCTCAATCACACACATGAGA
The DNA here is from genome assembly GCF_000001405.40 of Homo sapiens. Classification (NCBI taxonomy): domain Eukaryota; kingdom Metazoa; phylum Chordata; class Mammalia; order Primates; family Hominidae; genus Homo; species Homo sapiens. The sequence goes on along the minus strand of NC_000003.12, from coordinate 194,953,162 downwards.
GCTGGGGTCATCTGGGGTTGCTGATAACAAAGCAGACAGGATCTGCTTCCCTTCAGCAAATACCACAGGCCAACTTGCATAGAGCCCTCCTCTTTAGAGGGTCTGGGGTGGGGCTCAGCATCTGGATGGTGGCTGAATCCAGGCTGGGATGTTTTGCCAGGAGAGGCCGAGCAAGTGCCAGAGAAAGGGAAAGGCTGGGCCGTCTCACGCAGCTAGGGCTTTCTGGGTCTTCCCCCAAAGCTCACTGAGGTCTGCTGGATAACACGCTTATTCCAGTGTCTACAGGTGACAGGATCCAGGCCAAGAGCCCCCAGAGCCAAGATAGAAGAGCCAAGGGCTTCTTGGACAGCTTTTCCCTATGTTTGCAGCGAACCTATTTCCATGTCATTATCGTATTATGTAAGCATAATAGCTTGTTCATCAAGATTTCCAAGGACTAACAAATACAGCGCGTATCAAAAACTAGTATCAAAAACTAGTAATCCAAAGTACACTGATTAATTATATATACAGTTGCTATAAAATCAGTAAACATTACATATGAAAGTTAAGTGATGATTTAGAATAATAATTAGGCTAGAAATGCGAAACTGTATTACATGCATACTCAATGTTTGTTAAACAAAGAAAATAACTCACAAATGTTTTCAGTGGGTGGAAATGAAAGCCAAGGAAGAAGAGGAAATTTCACAGAATGGAAACTGGTTGGTGTCCAGGTGGAACGCACACAGCAGCACTCCACCCTGCTCTCAGCAGGACAGTTGGGGTTGGTGTCTGGGCAGCAGCGAGAGGAACACAGGCAGGAGAACCCAGAGGACACCCAGGGGACACAGGGGTCCCGCAAACAGCTCACCAGCAACTGAAGCAATAGGGAGAGTTGGAAGTTCTTGAAGTGAGGAAGGAAAGTCGAATTTAGCAGGAGGAGGTAATAATGGCTCATCTTGATTGAGTGTTCACTACGGGCTCTGCTGTTTTCTCTTTTCTTTCTTTCTTTCTTTCTTTCTTTCTTTCCTTCTTTCTTCCTTCCTTTCTTTCTTTACTTTCCTCCCTTCCTTCTTTCTTTCCTTCCTTCCTTCCTTCTTTCTCTTTCTTTCCTTCCTTTATTCCTTCCTTCTCTCTTTCTCTCTTTCCTTCCTTCCTTCCTTCCTTCCTCACTCCCTCCCTCCCTCCCTTCCTTCCTTCTCTCTTTCTCTCTTTCTTTTTTGTTTTTGACAGAGTCTTGCTCTGTCACCCAGGCTGGAGTGCAGTGGTGTGATCTTGTCTCACTGCAACCTCTGCCTCCTGGGTTCAAGCAATTCTCCTGCCTCAGCCTCCCAGGTAGCTGGGATTACAGGTAAGTGCCACCACGCCCAGCTAATTTTTGCATTTTTAGTAATGTTGGCCAGGATGATCTCGATCTCCTGACCTTGTGGTCCACCCGCCTCGGCCTCCCACAGTGCTGGGATTCAGGCGTGAGCCACCGCGCCCGGCCTGCTAAGTGTTTTCTATGCATGATTTTGTTTCATCACATACAACCCTTTGCGGGAAGTGATGTTATTATTATCACCACATCTATCTATAGATGGAGAATCTGATGCTCAGAGAACTGAAATAACTTCCCCAAGCCACAGGCAGCTGCCCAGTGGTCAGCAGAGTTTCTGGACCTGACGGCCTAATGCCAAAGCCCAGGTGACTAACCGCCGTGCGACGCTGCCTCTATGAGGCACCAGGCCAGCGTCAAAGCCTGGATGTCTCCCGCAGCCTTGCTCCGGATTATGTCCTCTAGTGGGGTGTTTATTTCTGCAGGGGGTGGGGAGGCAAACGTGTGCAATGCGTGTTTATTTTTCTATTTGTGCTAAAATAGTAAAGATTTCCGTTTCTGGAAAGCACACTTGACTAGAATTGTTTGAGGGAGGTGGACTCTTGACCCCTGCATCCAGAACCCTGGGGTGGATCTCAACTCCAGGCTGAGCACCTGGGTGGGACGGCTCTCCACAGAACCAGCCTTGGAAGCCAAGTCAATCAAGTGGCAGCAGACTTCTGCAGACGCGAGGAACTCACCATCACACACGCATTTCACAATCTCAAAAATGATCTTTTAAGATTTTTAGATATTTTTCTCTTGACACACGAGGGTGCCTCTCTGGAACTGGGAACAACGTAGAGACTCAGAGCCATTCCTTCACAGCTAGCAGGAAGGAAGGCTGCTGTTCTTTCGTTTCTTTTTCTTTTCCTTTCTTTTTTCTTTTCTTTCCTTTTCTTTTTTTTTTTTTTTTAGATGGAGTTTCGCTCTTGTTGCCCAGGCTGGAGTGCAGTGGCATGATCTCGGCTCACTGCAACCTCTGCCTCCCCGGTTTAAGTGATTCTCCTGCCTCAGCCTCCCGAGTAGCTGGGACTACAGGCACCCGCCACCACACCTGGCTAATTTTTGTATTTTTAGTAAAGACAGGGTTTCACTGTGTTGGCCAGGATGGTTTCGATCTCTTGACTTCGTGATCTGCCCGCCTTGGCCTCCCAAAGTGCTGGGATTACAGGTGTGAGCCGCCGTGCGTGGCCTCTACCTTTTTTTAAAATTGTTACTTGGAGAATGTCATTAGGGAAGGTGCGTGCCAGATTTTCTCACTCAGTGTTTGAATGTTTTTTCTTAAGCCCATACAACTCCAATCATAACTTTTATTAAAATGCAAGCCAGGTGCCGACATGCGTGGTTCTCTGCCCTGACACACGGCAGGCCTGGCTGAGTCCTGGTGAAGACGCCCAAAATAAACCTGTCTGTGTCAGTGGGGACTTGCCAACTGCCGTGACATTCAACCCTGAAGTCTCAGGGGCTTCATTCAGTGCACGCTGCTGCCTCAGACCCTGTCCAGGACAGGTTGCGGGAGGGTGCTGCTGTGCACACCCACTCAGGACCCAGTCTCCTTCCCTGGCGTGGTCTCCCTGTCTTCCAGAGCCTCGGAGCCTCCTCCTGGATTTTCTGCAGCAGCGTGACAGGCAGGGAAGCAGCAACCGTGACAGGTGTCACGGGTGGTTTGAAAGCGTCCAGGCTGGAAGTGGAGTATGTGGCCTACCTAGATGTGAAGGCTGAATTTTGTCCCCTTCAATTCACATGTTAAAAATCCTAACCCTCAGTACCTCAGAATGTGGCTGCATAGAGAGCAGAGCCATTTGAAGAGGCAGTTAAGTTAGAATGAGGCTGTTAGGGTGGGCCCTTATCCAATCTTATTGGTGTCCTTATAAGAAGAGGAAATTTGGCACACAGAGTGGCTCAATGGACTTGCACACAGAAGGTAGTCATCTACAAGCCAAGGAGGGGGGTCTCAGAAGAAACCAAACCTGCTGACACCTTGATCTTGGACTTCCAGCTTCCAGAGCTGTGAGGAAATAAATGCCTGTTGTTTAAGGGACGCAGTCTGTGGTGTTTTGTTGTGGCAGCCCTAGAAAACGGATGCACGTGGTAGCAGGATGAACCCAGGGTAGGAGCCTTCCTTAGCAGTCTCTGCCACAGCCTGTCATTGGCTTTCCTCCCAGGGGAGGATAAGCAAAGTCCCATCCAGTCCCTGTATCTAGCTCCAAATTTAGGAACTTTGGGTTGTTGGGATGTTCAAAACCCTTTAAACCCAGTCTCCTGGCTTCGTTGGCAACACAGTTCTCTCAACAACTTAGGAGGCTTCTAATCTATTTGTGTCCCATCAATTCTCACAGCTCTGGAGGCTGGAAGTCCAAGATCAATGTCTCAGCAGGTTTGGTTTCTTTTTTGTTATTGTTTTTGTTTTTGAGACAGAGTTTCGCTCTGGTTGCCCAGGCTGGAGTGCAATGGCGCAATCTCAGCTCACTGCAACCTCCGCCTCCCAGGTTCAAGTGATTCTCCTGTCTCAGCCTCCCGAGTAGCTGGGAATACAGGCATCTGCCACCACACCCAGCTAATTTTTGTATTTTTAGTAGAGGTGGGGTTTCTCCATGTTGGCCAGGCTGGTCTCGAACTCCTGACCTCAGGTGATCTGCCCAACTCAGCCTCCCAAGGTGCTGGGATTACAGGTGTGAGCCACCGTGTCCAACCTGCTTTGGTTTCTTCTGAGATCCCCCTCCTTGGCCTGTAGATGGCTGCCTCTGTGTACAAGTTCATTGAGCCACTCTGTGTGCCAAATTTCCTCTTCTTATAAGGATACCAGTCAGATTGAATAACATGCTATTAATTATACCCCTATTTTTTTTCCGAGTCATAATTCTCAATGCTGCCTTCTTTCTGTTTGCTTCCTCATGCCATTCTTTCTTAACATAATGATGGCTATGTTGAGGCTATCAGACTTGGGTAGAAAGGTACAATCCATGAGTTGATGTTTGCCTCAGAGGTGATTCACTGTGTTTAGTGAGAAGAAAGATTCATTGGGTCTTCTTTGTTCAAAACCTTTTAAAATTCAGACACTGAACAGTGTCTGAGAGAGAAACTTTCATTGTACTAAACACAGGGGATTGTTACAACAGTTAGCAGATCTCCACTAATACGAGATTAATTTTATCTGGGGAGGTAGAAAAATAAGGCCCAAAGAGGAAAGAGTTTTCTAGAAGAGGTCATTTTTTTTCCCCATTGCTGCGTGTCCCGAATTTCTGATTCTCTCCATTCTGTTTCATTTCTTCTTGTGAATTGAGCAGTTCTTTTCTGAGCTCATTGTTTTTCTTGTAATATCTTGCCGAATGCAGCAACAACAAGCAAAACAGCATAATATTCTTGTTTACTCGTTTCCTTCCGCCTCTCCTAGAGCATGTGTTTTTTACTTCCAGGTTATAATAGGCAATAGTTTTTACCAAATGTTTTGTCTGTCTGAGTATAACATGGATCTCCAGTTACCTAACCCGCTACATCTCTTTCCTTTTTGCTCAGCCTTTGTATTTTAGTTTTTGTCATGGAAGTACCCCACTTCAAGAAATGAATTATTATATTAGTCAAAAAATACTAATTGCTGAAACGAACAGCTGCCAAATCTCAGTGGAACGTAACAATTAATACAAAATAAACATTTTATCCTCCTCATGTCACAGTGCAATGTTGATTGACTCGAGTGGAAGTGACAGAAGTGAGAGCTCTGCTCCATGTTGTCACTCAGGGATCCATTGTTCCATTAATTCAGGGATTTAACAGGTGAATTATCTTTTAAGATTTTTAGATATTTTTCTCTTGACACACAAGTTCCATTGTGTGGCTTGGGTACCTGGTAGGGCACTGAACCTTTTCGCTGGATTCAGATAACTGGTTGGCAGGTGAGGAAAAAGAGATCACGAAGAAGCTTGTGGAAGTTCTTAGGACAAACCTGCAAGGGTGTGTCCATTGACAAGAACTATTCACATAGCCCCACTAGATGCAAGAGCTCTTGGAAAGTCAGTCTACTAGTATCCCAACAAGAAAAGGAGACACAGATATTGGTGTACAAGAGCATCCTCTGAATATCCCCTCCTTCCTCCGTGCTGTGGATGCTATGGACACAGTGGTGCATCTCCCAATTCTCCCTTTAACGAAGCACTTATTGCCCCAGCTGTAGGCAGGGCTCATTGTTGACAGCCTTCAACTGTCAGCCCCTTCAGGAATCATCTTAGCTGCAAAGAGCTACCTTGCCCAAGGCTGCATCATCCTTCCTGGAATGGCCCTCATCCAATGACTGATCAAGGTGGGAGTATAAATGTCTAGTCATTTTGACCCCAAACAGGACAAGTCTGATATGGAGTATTTTAGTTCCAGGCCCTTGTAGGACTGGCCAATTCTGTTGTTGGGTTTGCTTTGCAGCTGGACTTTCCCCTCTGCCCAATCTGGCTTTCCCCTCCTCTCCAAAGATATTCCCAAGAGCACTGCCTAAGAAACATTCTGCAGGCCGGGTGTGGTGGCTCATGCTTATAATCCCAGCACTTTGGAAGGCCAAGGCAGGAGGATAGCTTAAGCCCAGAAGTTCAAGACCAACCTGGGCAACATAGTGAGGCCTTGTCTCTACCAAAAAAAATTAATAATAATTTTAAAAGAAATTTTAAAAAGAGAAACATCCTGTGCACTAAACCTCAATCTCAGAGCCCATTTCCTTGGAGAGCCTAACCTGCAACAATGGGTAAATACTATAAGCCCTATCAATGGGTAAATACTATAAACCTGTCAGGGTTCTTTGAACTTTTCTGTTGTTCTCTGCTGTGGTCCAACACCTGTAATGATGCCTGACACACAGTATGTACTTGCTAAAATACATTTTAAGGCCAGGCTTGGTGGTTCATGCCTGTAATCCTAGCACTTTGGGAGGCTGAGGTGGGAGGATCACTTGCGCTCGGGAGTTTGAGACCAACTTGGGCAACATAGACCTCATCTCTTTAAAAAAAAATAAAAAAATTAAATTAAATACATTTTAAGATGAATGTCTATTTAATTGTACATGTATACTTGTCATTCTCCTTTGCCACGTTCTCCTCAAGGACAAAGTCAATGAAGTCATCTTCCCTGTCACTAGCTCCCAGCTTAGCGCTGGCAATCATTACTTAGAAAAGAAAGATGATTTTTTTTTTCAGCAGAGGCAAATACATAAATAGTGTAAATAGTCAGAGAATGGAGGGAAAGATCTTCCTAGACCAGGGGCCAGTTTCTACAGAGGAAAGAAAGACTCAGGTAGAAAGCTGGCGGTGGGGGGTGTAAGAGTCTGGTGATTGTCTTGAGCTGATGTTTGCTAGTGAGTGTTCTTTTTTCTTAGTGTATTTTTATTTGGGATGGATGATGGAAGTGATTGGGTGTAAGGCCAACTCAAGCCACCCCTGGCTGCGCCACCACCCCAGCTGAAAGCATTCCACTGTGCAGTGAAGGTCAGAAGCCTTCATGGGGTGTGAGGAGGCATTAATCTCCCCACACCCATTTCCTGAGCAGCTGCAGGGCCTGGCGGGAGGCCTGAGGATAGGACTCGGTGAGGAGAAGGGGCTCTGGGGGCCATGGGCTTGTTCCTGAAGATGCTTACAGGGAAACTGAGGAGACGACAGAAATGCATGATGAAAAATTAAGCGCCACTGGGACCGTAAGTGAGAGAAAACAAATAGAGTCGATGCAGGCGCTGTTATAGGCGGCCTCAGAGGCCAAGGAGCTCAGCAGAAGGATCTGGTCCGAATCGAAGCAATTTGTTATCCGTTCGGTTTTCAGCACCATGAACACACAAATAGAGATGAGTGTCGAGAGAAAAAGGGGGATAAATAAAGGCTTTAGATGGAGTTAAAATAAATGGAAGAAGTGATTGATGAGAGGAGGACTGGGAAATCGACGTATGAAAAAGTGGACGAATGAGAAATTCTAGAAAGTGGGAGAGGGAGGGAGGAAGTGAAGGAGATGCTTTTCAGCCGGCCTCCAAGTTGGGTCCTCGCCATCCTCTCAAACCAGCCCTGGGGTGCTCGCACGCGTTCCCCAGCGGTGTTCGGGGTTCCAGAAGGTGAACGTATGGTCTGGTGCGGCTCCCCTAGCTCCAGGAGCCCTCCTGCCCCTCCCAACAGCCTCAGGCTCCCTCGGGGCAGGAGACGAGGCCCTGCACAGCCCTTCAGCACCTGCTGTCTGCTTTGAAAGGGGCTGCAGGGAGTGCTGGGGCTGCTCAGAGATGCCTTCCCCCCTCTCTTCTCCTTGGTTCTTCGCTTCTGCTTCCTTCCTCCACTCTTCCTGCCTACCTCACCCCACCTTGAAGCCCTGATGTGCCCACTGGGGAATCAAGGGGCTACTGTTCATCATCTTAATAATTGTAATGATTGGAAACAGATCTTCCAGGCCCTGGCCCTCCCCCAGAGGTAAAAATTAAATGGTGGAATTATAAGGCAAAGTGTATAAGGAAGTTAGAAAAAAAAAGGAAGCTCTATAAAGATAAAGACCAACAAAATGAGACCCATTAATGGGGTCAGAATTTTGTTCCCTGGTTGCTCTCAAAATAGTGGCACACTTAAATGAGAAAAGTAAAATTAAATAGGTATGTATTTATTTCTTCAGATAGAAATGAGCACAAACGCCTAAAATAAATTGACCAGAGACCCTGAGTCATGTTAAAACTTAATTTAATGAGAGCTTGGTAAGTGTCTTTTCTGGTGGAATGGAAAGAGGACTGAAGTTAGGTCAGGAGACCCCATTCCACCGAGGGAGGGTCACCTTGAACAGCCCATTCCCCTCCCCAGCTACAATTTCTCAGCCTTCCGAAAGAAAGGATTGGTTAACAACTAATTTCTAGAGTTCTTCCAGTCTTGCTGTTCTAGCCCAGAATGAAGAAAGGGGATGAAAAAATGATTCCATCCCCCAGTGGGAATCAGCATGGGTATCCTTGTGCCAAGGTTGCCAATCCATCAGCACAAGGGCTGCACCCAAGCCAGGAGTGTGGACACACAGAGCTGGATGAACCAAAGGGAGGTGTAGAGATAGAAACACGCGTAAAGGGCTGGGCGCGGTGGCTCACACCTGTAATCCCAACGCCTGGGGAGGCCGAGGCGGGCGGATCACTTCAGTCCAGGAGTTTGAGACCAGCGTGGCCAACGAAACCCCGTCTCTACAAAATGGTGAAATCCCATCTCTACAACTCTACAAAAAAATACAACAATTAACTGATGATTAACTTGTAGGGGATAGGGGGATGAAGTTAGTCTTCAGTTAATTGGCATGGTGGTGTGTACCTGTAGCCCCAGCTGCTGGGAAGGCTGAGGCATGAGAATAGCTTGAGCCTGGGAGGCAGAGGCTGCAGTGAGCCAAGATCGCGCCACTGCACTCCAGCCTGGGTGACAGAGCGAGACTCTGTCCCCCAAAAAAGAAAAAAAGAAATATGCCTAGACTAGAGGAGGAGTCTGCTCAGGCAGAGAACTCACAGTTTCCCACTAAAATCTCTCCTCTGGACAAGAAGCAGGAATTAGGCCCCCAGTGCTAGGGTTCCCATGATTTCCAGTTTCAGGACCTCTCCCTTGTGAGTATAGTTCTATTTTCAGCATCAATTTATAAAGAACATACATACTTACAAAAAACTACATGAAGCTCTAACACTCAAATAAATTTGTATTACAACAGCATTTAGATTAATCTGAAAAATAGTAATGTATGTGTAGCTAAGAAATATTTATTCAGGGCCGGGCACGGTGGCTCATGCTTGTAATCCCATCACTTTGGGAGGCTGAGGCAGGCGGACTACCTGAGGTCAGGAGTTCGAGACCAGCCTGGCCAACATGGTGAACCCACGTCTCTACTAAAAATACAAAAATTAGCCGGGCCTGGTGGCGCGTGCCTGTAATCCGAGCTACTCGGGAGGCTGAGGCAGGAGAAATCACTTGAACCTGGGGGGTGGAAGTTGCAGTGAGCTGAGATGGCACCACTGTACTCCACTCCAGCCTGATGACAGAGCAAGACTCCCTCTCAAAAAAAAAAAAGAAAAAAGAAAAAAAATCATCATGGGATGGTGAAGCTCCTCAGGGTTAGGAGGGGCAAAGTGTGGGAGGGGTGGTCTGGGAATTCTGATAGGGCTGTAGCTGTGGCAGTGTGGGAGACTGTGGGAGGGTGTGGGAGAGATTGAGAGTGTGGGAGAATGTGGGAGAGTGTGGGAGTGTGGGAGAGAGTGGGAGAGTGTGGGAGACTGTGGGAGAGTGTGGGAGAATGTGGGAGAGTGTGGGAGTGTGGCAGAGTGTAGGAGAGAGTGGGAGAGTGTGGGAGAGAGTGGGAGAGAGTGTGGGAGAGAGTGGGAGAGTGTGGGAGTGTGGGAGAGTGTGGGAGAGATTGAGAGTGTGGGAGAATGTGGGAGAGTGTGGGAGAGAGTGGGAGAGTGTGGGAGAGTGTGGGATTGTGGGAGAGTGTGGGACTGTGGGAGAGAGTGGGAGAGAGTGGGAGAGCTTGGGAGAGTGTGGGAGTGTGGGAGAGAGTAGGAGAGTGTGGGAGTGTGGGAGAGAGTGGGAGAGTGTGGGAGGCGTGGTCTGGGAATTCTGATAGGGCTATAGCTGTGGGAGAGCCACTGGGTAGAAGTCCTGTCTTTGGTAGGGGATGCAGTTAATCTTCAGTAACCCGAAAGAGGAAGCTGAGAGAATTACTTCCCTACTTTCCTCCTGCCACTGACCTCCTGCTGTTCCTACCCAATGGCTTGTGTGGTTTTTTTCTGCACCAGTTCTGTAATTCTCCAATTCTCTGACACCAACTGGGTGTATAATAGTTCAATTTTTTTTTTTTAAATGGAGCCTCCTTTGTCACCCAGGCTGGAGTGCAGTGGTGTGATCTCGGCTCACTGCAACCTCCACCTCCCAGGTTCAAGCAATTCTCCTGCCTCAGCTTCCTCAGTAGCTGGGACTACGATGTGTGCCACCACACCCAGCTAATTTTTATATTTTTAGTAGAGACGGGATTTCACCATGTTGGCCAGGCTGGTCTTAAACTCTTGACCTCAGTTGGTCTGCCCGCCTCAGCCTCCCAAAGTGCTGGGATTACAGGCGTGAGCCACTGCGCCCGGCCATAGTTCAATTCAATTCTGACAGTAATTCCCAGACCCCATGGGTGAAGGGGTCAGTCTCATAAGAGGGTCCCCACTTGAGATGTGTTCCAGGTTCCCAGGCTACCCACACTTCTGTCCCCCTTGGCTACAAATTCAGGGGTTTCCCGCTTAGGTTTAATCATTTGCTAGAATGACTGACAGAACTCAGGAAGATACTTCGCTTACGTTTACCAGCTCCTCAGGAAGGAGAGAAGACAGGGACAGGCGAATGGGAGAGATGCCCTGGGCAGTGAGCTGGTGGAGGGAGGGGTGTGACCCAGAGCTCCCAGGCCCTGGCTGGGTACATCACCTTCCCATCAGTGTGTTCACCAACCCGGAAGCTCCCCACGTTGCTGTTAATCTCTAACCCTTCTCCCCTCCCCAAAGGTCAGGGGATGGGGCTGAAGGTGCCGCCCTCTAATTACATGTTTGATTTAATTACATGGGGTGACTAGTCCCCATCCTAAAGCCATCTCGGAGCTCCACCCTGAATCATCTCATTAGCATGAACTCAGGAATGGTGGCAAGGGGCTGTGTTGGGTAACAGAAGACACTCCTGTCATGCAGGAAATGCCGAGGGTTTTAGGAGCTCTGTGCCAGGAACTGAGGACAGAGACCTGATATAGTTTTTAATTATACCACGTGGCTCAACCCAATGGCACTCGAAGGCAAGTCAACCAGGCTTACACAGTCCAAGGAATGGCCTTCCAAAGCCCAGGGGCGGGTGGAGAAGGGTGGAGAGGAGGCCTGGAGGGGAGTGGAGGACACCCCGCACACCCTGGCCACACGCATCTGCTGTCCAGGGGTTCCCAGCACCACATCTTCCCACAGGCCAGGGAGGGAGCAGGACATTCACTGCAGCCCAGCCGGGCAAGAATTCAGAAGGCAGCGGCGCCCTGGCCCCACTCAGGCTCCACCAGGGACACAGCTAGCTGGGGGTAGACTCTTGCCCCCTGCTTCCCATCCTTTTCTGCCTGAGGGATGAATGATGAGCCAGAGCTGTTTCCTTAGCCAAATGCCCATGGCCTCTTTCTCCACTGCTTCTCAGCATCAGCCCTGCTGCCCTCGCGTCTGGCTTCTGCCTGGCCAACTGCCATGGCTTCCTAACTGGTCCTCCTGGGTCCAGCTTCTCTCCAGCCAGCAATGGCCCTGCACAGCCCCCTAACAACACAGCTCCTAGCCTGCCATCCAAGGCTTGTCACCCCATGTCACCTCATTTCTCAGTGTATTCATTTCCCTAAGCTCCGGACATACCAAACTCCTGCCAGTCACCAGGTGCAGCCTGTGCTTCCTGGCCTCCAAGTTCCCGTGGTCTGCTCTTCCTGCCTTATCCCATCTCTACCTGCCAGAGGCAAGCTTCTCCTCATCTGCCAGCTCCTCCAGGACAGCTTTCTACACCCTCAATCTCAGCTCTTTGAATGCTCTCAAGTTTCCATCTGCGTAACTCTAGCAGTGACCTTGTCCTATACGCTTTTTCTCGTGTGTTTTCCCAACACGTACTGATGGGGTTCTTCCTATGCCAGGCGCTGTGCCAGGCACTCAACAGAGAGTGGCGAGGGAAGTGGACCCTTGTCCTGTCCTCATGGAGCTTGCATCAGCCTAGCTGGGGAGACACACATTAATGAAAGAATCATACAGGCAACTGTCAAATGCAAGAGGGACGATGCTGCCGAGGAGTGGGATGTGCGGCCAACTGAGGACTGAACTGGGGATTTGCTTGAGTCGCGGAAGGCTGGGAAAACTTTTCCAAGGAAATCACACTGAGCTGAAAGCTGGGGGAAGAGTAGGGAAAGTTAATTAGGTGAAAAGATGAGGGCGGGTTAATCCAGACAGAAGAGACGGTGTGTGCAGAAGCCTTGTGTTGTATCTGCTATGCTCCTGTCTTCCCCCTGAACTATAAACGGTGGCCTTTTTGTGGCCACATCTGCTTGTGGATATGTCTAATCTCAGCCCAGGGCCTGGTTCTTACAGGCACTCAACAAATCTTTAAGTTGAATTAAATGGATCGAACTGAATTCCCACTCCCAAGCAGGCTGCTGCAGACCCCAGAACACCCTCCCCTACCCCCCGAGTTTGAGCCCAGGGCCCGGGGCAGTTTCAGTGACTGCTGCTGTCTGAGCCACATTCAGCTTTCAAGTGGTGCCAGCAGCCTGAGCCCCTCTGAGCCAGCAGTGGGGATTGTGTGTGGGCTGCCAGCAATATTGGCCATGGGGGCTACAGGTGAGGCCAGGAGCAGTGACCAGAGTGACCAGCACTATCTAGATGCTGCCCTTGCAAACAGTGACTGGAGCATGCCATGTGGAGGGAAAACTGCTGACCCAGCATCAGAGCAGCTTCTGCTTTGAGCAGATCCTCTGACCCCTGACGGGCAAGTGCCTCACCCCAGACCCTGGGGCCAGATACAGAGCGCCAGAGTCCCAGAGACGCCAGGGAGGCGCTTGAGAGGGCCCGGCACTGCTGCAGATCAGAGCCAGCATGCTAACAGTCATTTGGACCTGGGAGCTGACAAGGCCACTCTCTGCTAAAGAGGCCTGCGTAGGCCATTCTGTCAAGTGGGGCCTCATGTACAACTGCTTCTTGCAACTCCCTTGCATGTGGGAGAAAGGGGAAAGTTGGGGCTGGGTCTTCCTGTTCCGGCCCTCTGGGGAGCCAACCGGCACAACTGTCCCTAACGCCTGTGGTGCCTGGTTCAGGTCGGGGGTGGGCAGGGCTCCTCGAGGACATTGGAGGGTCGTGGAGGGGGTACGTACCCTGCGGGGTCCTGCAGGCCTGATGTCCCAGCACCCAGCAACCCAGGCCTGTCATGGAGACAAAGGGGCACATACTTGAACTCATCAGGATGCAACGGATGGCCTGCGCTCCCCAATCCAGGGCCACCCCAAGCCTTCCAGCGTCTCCCTATTCCCTATTCCCTCCTAGAGAAGCCCGTGGTTAGCTTGGCATTTTAGGAGTTGAGCACCATTGCACACAAACCCCCTTCAGGCTCCTTCACTCCAGCCCTGCTGGACCGTGTGTTCCTACCCAGCATGTTCCTGCCACATTGCTCATGCCACCTGGAGTCTTTCTACTCCATCCCAGCAGATTCCAGCTCTGCCCAGCCCACATTCCTTTCACCTCCTCTACACGACCTTCTGAGACTTCTGCAGTTAGAAGCAATGTGTCCCCCTTCTTTGAGTGGCACTTACTCCCTAGGGTGTCTCATAGCTACTTGTGCACTTGTCTGATCAGCCCCTTTGGCCTTACCTCTGAGAACAGGAATCCTGTCCCCAACACTCATTCTCCGTCTCCCCTCTACCTCCCCTGCACCCAGCACCCTGTACCAGCATGGTTGCCCTGCCCACACTGAACGCCAATTGACCTTGGGGTAGTCACTGGGAGCTCAGCCCTGGGACTCCAGCTGTCCCAGTGAGCCCATCAGCATTCAGGGATCCTGCGTAAGACAGTTACAGAGGTGCCGTCCCTGTAGTCTCAAAGCCCTTTTCCTCTCCCAGAGGAGGTAGAGATCTTCTTGCCCAGAGAAGAACAGAGCTGAGATGGTGCACAATGTTTTCTGGGCTGTCAGCCCTCCCGGCGGTCATCATTAATCCCTAGAAAGGCTGTGCTTACGTCATTATTCAGGAGAAAATGTACAACCCAGAACAAGGCTGGCTCTTGGCAGAGGCAGCAGCCAGAGGAGCCAAGAACATTTGTCAAGAGGGGAAGCATCACAGAAGGCCTTGCCCTGCTGCTCCTCCCAGGGGGCCAGTGGCTCTAAGATCCCCTTCAGCTTCTCTTGCCTCTTGCTTGCTTTGGAATGGCCCCATTCTGGGCAGATGCTGGGCCCCAAACCACCCTATTGAGGTCTGACGGGGGAGAGGAGAGCAGCCAGTCTGGACGATGGGTGGCCGACAGGAGGGTGAGGCAGGGTTGACCTTTGAGCCACACCTCCTTTGAGGGACAGGGCGCTTTTCCCTTCCCACTTATAAAGCTACTCTTTTCCCTGCCACTGCCAGGCATCTGAGTGATCTGGGCACCATGATGGTAGCAGCTACTATTCCCATGTCTGCCATGCCCAGGTACTGCTCTAAGCACTGCGCATCTTAATACTCACAAAATATTGTGAAATGGTTTCTAGTTTCATCCCCACTTGATAGTTAGAGAATCTGAGGTACAGAGAGGTTAAGTAAGTCATCTAAGATCACACAGAGAGTAAGCGGGATTTAAATCCAGGACCATCTATTCTAACGGCGGAACAGTTATTTATTCTGCTGTTTCTGGTGTTCAAAATTCCACTGCCGTCAGCTGAGAAAATGCATGTGCAACCTTGACCATGTCACCTCGCCATCCTGGGCCTGCTGGCTATTCAACAGAAAGGAGATGATCTTGGGAAATACTTGCAGTGAGAATTCATTTCATTAAGGGCATTTTGCAAAGTGCCTGGAGGCCCTGGAGGACCGAGAGCCAGAAAACATCTGCATAGAAGCAGCGTGGGCATGAACGGGTGCTAGACCCCTAGGTGCTGATATCTTCCCAAGGCCATGTCGACAAAGCGAAACTAGATGGTGGCGCCATTGCCCCAGCCAGCCTTGGTGCTGGCACTTTGACCAACAAGGCCGTGTCTTGTTCTACCTGATGACATCACCTCTGGTAATGGGTCTTCCTGCTTGTCTCCCAGAACTCTGTGTTCCATTCCTTAACAGAAACTAAGCAATAACATAAGGAAGTCCACATGTCATTAACATTCTGAGGAGATGGAGTCACTCTTGTGAATGAAACACCCAGCTCCAGGTAGTTTTTGCCTGACATCTCACTGTTTCATTATTTCACTCAGCTTCTCACTGCCAGTGCGGGCTGCTGGCTCTTTTCCCCAAGGCCCCCATCTCAGGCCTTTAATTTCTTTTGGATTCCTGGGTGGAGAATTCCAGGGTGTACCAGCCACAGGCGGTAATTCATTTTTATTTTTATTATTTTTTTTTTGAGACAGAGTTTCACTCTCGTTGCCCAGGCTGGAGTGTAATAGCACAGTCTCGGCTCACTGCAACCTTCGCCTCTGGGGTTCAAGTGATTCTCCTGCCTCAGCCTCCCAAGTAGCTGGGATTACAGGCAAGCGCCACCACATGCCTCTAATTTTGTATTTTTAGTACAGACGGGGTTTCTCCATGTTGGTCAGGCTGTTCTCGAACTCCTGACCTCAGGTGATCCACCTGCCTCGGCCTCCCAAAGTACTGGGATTACAGATGTGAGCCACCGCGCCAGGCCAGTAATTCATTTTGGAAATCATCTGACCTGGACCTTTCCAGGGTGTACCAGCCACAGGCAGCGATTCACTTTGGAAAGCTTCTGAGCTGGTCCTTTGCTGTCCTCCTGCCTGCAAGACCCAGATTTGGCTTGGGTTTGGCCATGTTACCTTTGCCTGGAAGGACAAACAGGCACAGGGTGACTGACTCACAGCTTTTCTAGGTGACTGGTTCTAACGACAAACACTGGCTCTTGGGGAGTTTAGAGCATGTGAATTATGGGAAACTTGGGTTGGAAGCAGCTCCCCACACAATCTGTAGTTTGACTCTTGTTGATGTTTGAATCTTTTCTATTATATTCCCAGCAAGTGGTTGTCAAGCATTTCCTTGCATGCCTTCATTGATGGAGAGCTCACTACATCCCCAGCCAGCCCAGTGCCTTCATTGATGGAGAGGTCACTACATCCCCAGCCAGCCCAGATGGAAAGGGCAGTCCTTTGGTGTTTTCACAGAAATTCCCTACCACGGAAACCAGAAGTAGGGAGCTAGGAGCACCTGCTTAACTAATCCTGCCAGAGGGTCGAACATCCCCTTAGCCATTAGCTCTGAAGGGGCCCTTGGAGATGACCTGGCCCCACGGCCTGATTTAACAGAGATACAAGCAACTTCTCTAGGCATAAGTTATCAGCGGCAGGTCTTCCTCTAATTGCACTGACAGCTGACACTGGTTGGGACCCTGATTACCTTCCAGGAACTTTGATCACTGCTTCATGCTGTATGATCTCATGTAATTCAAGCTGCTGTTGGGAACTTGTAAGATGGTTATTATTCACATAACAGATGAGGTGACCAAGGTTCAAAGAAATAAAATAATTTGCCCCAAGTCACAGCAGCTCATTAATGGCAGAGCCAGGCCTTGAACCCAGGCCTGTCTGAATCCATGTTCTCGGCTACTCTTCTCGTCTAAGCATGGTGCCTGGCTTCACAGAAAGTACAAGGGTTGAATTTTCTTTTGCGGAGGAAATTGATTGGGACTTATTATTAGGAATTTTAAGATGCATAGTATTCTCTGAGTCTGTGTATAAATCTGAGGTTAGGTCTATGCAAATAAGAAAATTTGGGGAAATATATAAGCAAATGATAGAAATCTGGTTTAGCTGCTTGTCTGCACATCTAGACACTTCCTCCCAAACTCGTCTGCATGTGTAGTTACAGCCCGAAGGCCTGGAGGGTACCTGTTATTCTCGTCAGGAGAGTAATTTGTTTCATTTCCTGACTTGTATGATCTCCAGGTGAGATCATGAGAAGCTAGGGATGCCTAGTATTTAGTTTATAAGAACAGAGCGCCAAAGAAGATTTTTTAAAAAATTGCAGTGGAAATTGCTGATTGCTGGAAAAGAAGTTAACATGATCTTATTTAAAACAATGAAAAGAACTTTTTAGCAATTAATTTTCCCTAAGGTGAAAACTTCGCTAAGTCAAAGCTACGGTTTGAGATTTAGCTGTGAGAATTGCTCTAATATGGAGAGACAGCCTTTGGGTACTTAAATTTTCAGTGCTGACTTAATTAAGGTTTTAGAGCATCCCAAGGCACTCGTCAAAGCTCCTATGTCTCTCGTTCCCTCCTAGCAAAAGCAAGAGGGGAAGCTGGCTGAAATTTCTGTATTTCCACTCAGTTTCTCCAACAAAACCTGCTGGTTGAAGGTAAGATTTCTTATTAGTCTGGAGGTCATTGGGCTAAATAATTCCTCACATTTTCCTGAAGTCAGATTGAACTTTGTTGTTGACTTTTCTGTTGCACGATTGAAACTGTTTTTGCAAAAATTATAACTGAGACGATTACTCCAGTGAAAGAGATCTGTCCTGACTGGCTCCATCTTGCGTCTAACCTCCAGGCCGTCCTTGTTCATTCTGGGGGCGTAGGCTGAACTAACTTTGGGAGGAACTTAGTTTATGGTTTAGCTTTGAAACAAAGATGGTAACAGCCCTTTCGCAAAACAAACCCCCTTTCTGCCTGGGGACTAGACTGCTTTTGCAGGACTCACAAATTAGCCACAAGATTAGAAATTATGGTTTAGGAGTCCTGCAGCTGGAGGCTACAAGATTCTAAACCTCCCCAAATTTCTCTTGGGGATAACGTCACTGTTGTAAAACCTGAGATCAATGATTGAGATATTTTGCAGGTCCTGCACTCGGTGGATCAGCTGTCACCACCAAGACTGACAAACTGGCTCATCTAGTCTTGTGGCCCGCACCCAGCAACTGACTCAGCACCAGAGGACAGCTTCACTTCCCTGATTTCATCTCCAACCCAACTGACCAGAACTCCCAACTCACTGGCCTTCCCCTACCCACCAAATTATCCTTAGAAACTCTGATCCCCTAGTGCTCGGAAGACTGATTTGAGTAATCATAAAACTCCAGTCCCCCACACGGCTGGCTCTGTGTGAATTACTCTTTCTCTATTGCAATCTTCCTGTCTTGATAAGTCAGCTCTGTTCAGGCCACAGGCAAGGTGAACCCTGGGCTGTTACACCCTGATGGGGTTACCTTTGAGAAGAAAGCATCTCCAGAACGCAAGAAACAGAATCTTTCTTTTGCCTTTTCCAGCTGTCTTGGAGGGAGACTTTTACCAAAGCTCCAGGTCACTTTGCACACAGGGCTGCGCTTGGGGCAGAGCGGCTCTGACCATATATTTAGGCCAAGCTGGGGCCTTCTATTAATACCACTGGCGATTTGGAAGCAGACTCATCAGGTTGGTGTATGTGATGAATAGCCATGGATATTTATATATTTATATATGCATCACTTAACAAGGGGAATATGTTCTGAGAAATACATTAAGCAAGTTCATCATTGTGCAAACATCATGGAGTGTACTTACACAAACCAATATGGTGTAGCCTATTAGACACCTGGACTGTCTGGTATTGTCTATTGCTCCTCCACTGCAAACCTGTACAGCATGTTACTGTGTTGAATACTGCATGCAATTGTAATGCAATGGTAAGTATTAGCATATCTAAACATGCCTAAACATAGAAAAGGAACAGTAAAAATGCAGGATTACAATCTCTTTGGACCCCTGTCATATAGACAGTCTGTTGTTGACTGAAATGTACTTATAGTTGTATGGCGCTTGACTGTATTTCCATGAAATTTTGGACTCTACCAATGTTTATTTGTTGGATAACTATGGAAGAGTGAAATGGCACTTTGGCCATTTTGATATGTGTGAAATTGCCATCTCAAAAAGCTGCACTAGTTCAAATGCACACTAAGAGTCTCTGCCTCTGAAGTCTGCTTCCCCACGCCGTTGTCAACACAAAGTGATATCAGAGTTTTCCATCTTTGCTGATCAGAAAGATGAAAATGGTGTTGGCTTGTTTAGTTCGTATTTCTTTAGTTAGGAGTGAGCTCGAACATCTTTTCACGTGTTGATTGGTCATTTGTTTGGACTTCTATTCATGTCCTTTGCCCGTGTTTTCTTCCATTGTTATTAGACTGTAAGAACCACTGACCTCTTCGTTTGATGTGCTAAAGTTTGATGTGTTCATGTCAACACCCTCCTCCCAGCTCCCCTCTTCACAGCACCGATGATGTCTGCGGGCCTGAAATTCAAATAGACAGGGGGAGCTCTTTAGGGTCCCTTACTCACACACTGCCTTTGAGGCTTGAAATTCTATGACCCAGAGAATTCAGCATTCCCGATCGTTTCTGGTTCTGCAGGAAAACAGGCCAACAGGAGATTTTGCTTGTTGTTCAGTGCCTCAGCCTGACCAACAGGATGGTGACAAGGACAGGGGTGTGTCCCGTTGTCCTGATTCAACTTCAGTCTTAGGCAGGCCTTGTGTGTCTCTTGATTTGGAGGTTGGAGCTTTCTCAGTAATCCTGCCCCTCTTCCCTGTGGCGGCCAAACTGCCGTGTATTTCAGGCTGTTCTTGTGCCCAAGAGAGTTTTCTGCCCCCTCCCCACCACCCACCCAACAGAAGACCTCTAATCAGCTGGATCCAGCCAGGGTGGTCTCTGCCCCTCCTCAGAGGTTGAAGTTTTCATCTTTACTCCTTCTCCTACTTACAGTGAGTGTTCTTGGGACAGCAAGCTTTGCCCTTTCCCTACTGGCTTAAGGCCTCAGGGGAGAAGATCCTGGACAAGGCTTTATGCTTTTGCCTGCAGCATCAGTGCTCCTATCTGCAGGACTGCACCTCTCAGGGTGGCTTTCTCCTGTTCTCTCTCCTGTCCAATCTTTCTTGAGAGCATGGGGTGGAGGTTTCTGGAGAAGTCTGTATGTGAGAGCCCCTCTTGTGTCTGCAGTCTCAGAGTCTGCAACCCCCTGCCAGCCCACACTTCATATTTAGTGATTCTTTAAGGTTCAGGTAGAACTTTAAAGAATCTTCTGGAATGTAGAGCTGTGGCTACAAAGCAGCTTTAGTTTCTCTGTTAGGGACTGTTTTTCCCAGCCTCCCTTGCAGCTAGGTGAAAGACTAGTTTTCACGAATAAGATAATAATAGAACTGCTGTCTTTCACTAATATGTTGTGATGATTAAGAAGTGTGCCTTTTCTGTGGCCTCTTTTGTGATTCACCAGCTGAATGAGAGGACTCTGAGGTCCTAGCAGAGGGAAGAATTCAAGACAGACAAAGCCAATCACAGAAGGCTGCCCAGAAATGTCTGCCTTGGACTCTGCCATGATGGGAAATAAATGTCTATTGTGTTAGGCCACTGAAATTTTGAAGTTTTTATCACAGGAGTTAGACTACCCTGACTCACTGAAAGACGGGTTGGCAAAGAAACATCAGTCTTTGATAATGTTAGCCGTCTCTGCCACAGTCTTGGAGAGATTGGGTAGACAAGGATGTTGATCACTTGGTTCCAGAAAGGATTAAGTCTTGAAAAGACCCCATGGAATACTTTACAACCATCCTCAGCGAGGGGATATTTGGAGTGTGCCCTTGGGTGATTTAGAGTGTGAGGTGGGGGAGACTTGAGGTGTGAGCAAGAGGATATTGGAGCTGTGAGCTCGGGAGATTTGGGAGTGTGAGCTGACCGTTTCCTACATTTAGGCAGGGGCATAGGCTGAGGCTTATTTTGCCATATTAAATGCAAATTCTTCCATCTACCTCTTAAGGGTCTTCATAATCTTGCCCCAACATACTTTCCTAGCCTTCCTGCGCTGTTCCTCTGCCTGTCCCCCAGGCTGGGGGTACATAGTGTCCTATCACCCTCCTTGAGAGCAGATCAGTTTCCATTCACTCACTTCCTCATCCATTCCTTTACTACAGAGGAGCACAAAAATGAATCCGTTAAGGCCCTACCCTCAGAAGTTCCAGTGCTTATGTGCAATGACCTTTTCAGAATATGCCTTTGCTGGGAACTGGAAATGCTGATACCAGAAGGCCTCCTTCCTTGGGGAAATATGCCTTTACTGCCCTGCCTTTCTCTGAGTCAATACTTACTGCAGACACTCTAGGCTGGTTCTGCTGTCTACACAAGAGTCCCTTCCACAGATTTCCCGGCAGCAGTCACCTGGGGTACACTAGAGGTAGGCCAAGGTCAGGGGGTTCACTGCTCCCTGGGGCATCCAGCTAAAATGTTCTTCCTTGTATGGAACTAAATCCTGTTTCCCTTTTGTTCCTACTTTGGCCCTCTGGGGTTAAGGTACAAATCTGCCTCATTGTCCCCAAGGGAGATCTTCAGAGATTCATCGGGTCTTTTCTTTAGAAAGACGTCCATTAGACACCACTGTCTTGCTCTGGGACCCTGCTCACCTTGGTTTTATTCAGTTCATCACAGAGGTCCTCCAGGTCACGCTCCCCATTCCTGGCATCCTCACTTGCATCTGTGTGGACTCTGCTTCTCAGGTCACTGACCACATGCCAAGGAATGGCAAAGCACTAAGTTAAAACACGGTCTGCTTTGACGTGCTCCAGCCAACACTGTGTAGGAGGAAACTGGGAAGGCTGTCCTGGTAGACAGGCACTTTGTCCTCTCACTCTGGAAAACTTTAAGGAAGATCTTGCATACATTTGGGCATATTCAGAGACGGGCTTGTAAAAGGTTAAAGTGAGTTTTTTAGAAGTTATCAATTTGCTTTTCTCCCTTTGGACATTCTCCAAATGACACTCTTTTTGGAAAAAAATTTAAATAGTCTGAAACTCCATGAAATACACTTTAAAGCTGTAGTGGGCAGTAAAAATGTGGCATCTGTTTAACTGATTGCAATTTCTACTGGAAGGATCTGTGAGCAGCATTTTTAAAAGCTTTTTCTTTGCCTTTGGTTTCTCTTTGTGTCCCATTTGAGTAATTTCCTCTGACATCCTTCTGTCCCTGGGCCTAGAAGCCTGGTAAATAAGCTGGCCCCAGAGAGATCCAGGAGCCAGCAATATCCTGGAAACCTTAGGCCACGAGGTTAAGCACAAAACCGCTCTCTTTCCAGGAAGGAATGATTGAATCAGAGTAACGACCTTGGCTTTCAATTAGTCCTTGTCCAGCTTTTCCCACTGTTTTCCTCTCTGCTGCCTGCCCACCATGCCCCAAGCTGTGGAGGAGCTGGACCTGCTCCAGCTCTCCTGACCCTGGGACGCTGCACAAGTGTATCCTGTCATTGGTGTGTGCCTCAAGACTTCATGGGCCTACAAAGCTGAGCTGAGTCAAGCTTCCTCCCCAACTCCGAGAAGAATGCCTGTCAGGAAGCTCAAATATTTAGAGAATGTGAAATACAGGATTTTAATGGAAGCATTTTTCACCTCCTCTAGAAAGAGGCTATAGAGTTAGTGGTTGGTCTGTCTGCAAATTATTCTTACTCACCCTAGTGTGCCTTCCTGATTTCAACACAACAAGCTCTTGGTGCTTTTGTCTACCACAAAGAGATTTTGGCTGCAGTGATTCTCTCCACAGGTGCAGTCCAGTGGCTGTTGAAATGCAGGCACGGCTGTTAGTAAAGGGACCTGCCTCTGGATGTTCTTCTGCAATTATGGTGCCAGCCATGCTACAGGAAGACGTCAGGCAGGATGTCGAAACGTATTTCTAGATACTGTGCCTGGACTTGAGACCATGATGTTAGCAGCAGGACAGGAGAAACTCTAGTGTCTCTTTTGCTACTTGGCTCCAACACAAGTGGATAAAGTTTTCAATAATATTTTACTTTAAATTGCCATCCTTTCCATGGGAAGTGCCAAACCCTCTCCAGTCAATGCAATAGAGATGTTGCCAAAAGTAAAATTACACAATTTTTGCTTTGTCTGGTATGGTCTGTTGGATGAGTTCTCTTCTTTGCTGAAATAGATACATATTTATACATATCATAATGAAGATGCTTGAGGCTGGGCGCACTGGCTCACACATGTATTTCCAGCACTTTGAAAGGCTGAGATGAGAGGATCACTTGAGCCCAGGAGTTCAAGACCAGCTTGGGCAACACAGTGAGGCCCTGTCTCTACAAAAAAAAAAAAAAAAAAAAAAATTATCTGGGTGTGGTGGCACACGGTCATAGTCCCAGCTACTCCTCAGGCTGAGATGGGAGGATTGTTTGGGCCTGGGACATGAAGACCTGGGTGACAGAGTGAGACTCTGTCTCAAAAGAAAAAAAAATGCTCAAATTAAACATTAAAATAATGAAGTTGAGAGCATAATTCACATCTCTGGGCTACTGAGCTCCAACTACTTCACTGCTTTGGAATTTAAAAAAAAATCCTTGTGTAGCAGTATTGGCTTTTCCAGATGAAATTGGGCTGTACAAACATACTTTGAGATTGTGTGATTTCACTTAAAATGTGTGTCCTGGCTCAGAGACTTCATACAAAATCCAGTAGGTTCAGAGAAACATAATCCTTACTCTTGGATCACTTTAGAAAAAAAGAGTTCAGCCTTATGTGAAGCCAGAACAAAAATTTTTTTAGAGCCAAAGCCTTCCGTGTGGTGTTTGAGCCCGACTATTACTTCGTTGAGTGGGAATAATGGCGGCGGAAGGGAGAAGCCACGTGACTAAAGCAAAGTTCACGGTGTGACCGCTAGGGGATGGATCCGAAAAGTTCACGGCGTGACCGCTAGGGGATGGATCCGAAAAGTTCACGGTGTGACCGCTAGGGGATGGATCTGAGTCACACGGCACCAAAGTATCTTCGCAGCAGCGACTCTGTACTGGCCTGCAGCAACCTCAATTCTTGCCTCCCTGGAAGAAAAAATTTGACTAAGGGACATAAGACAGAATGAGAGACCAAGGCAAGTTTTAGAGCAGAAGTGAAAGTGCATTCAAAAGCTTTGGGGCAGGAATGAAAGGAAGTACAGTACACTTGGAAGAGGTCCAGGAGGGTGACTTGAGAGATCAAGTGCACAGTTTGACCTTTGACTCGGGGTTTTATATGTTGGCACACTTCCGGGTGGTCGCAACCCATCTCCCCTGATGCTTCCCTTGGGGTGGGCTGCCCACAAACATAGTGGCTTGCCAGCACTTGGGAAGGCCGCATGCGCAGTGTTTACTGAGGTCGTGCGCATGCTCACTCGAGGCGTTTTTCCCTTCCCAGTCCAGCATTCCTAGAGGAAGGTCATATACCAGTTAAACTCTGCCATTGTTCCTCTTAGTGCGCATGCTTGAGCTCAGTTACCAAGCCCCTGCGATCTCACTGGGAAGCTGCTGATCGCCAGTTTCAGATGTTTCTATCGATTGGAAGACTGCCTTTCCCTAGTGCTGGCTGCGACCAATTATTATTAATATTTTAAAGAGACAGTTAACAATCACCTGATGGTCGCCTGACATTCCTGGTCGGGGGTGGGGGGCCCTTTCCTGCCCTGCTCATGTCTGACTACCTACAGTAACAAAGGTCCTTTGAGACTCATCCCCCTGCCTCATTCCCTGACTCCCCATCAGCACTTGCTGCTGCCTCTCCACTTGGGAGGAAGAAGGAGTGTGGAGAGACTGAGTAGGCAGGGACAAGTGGGCAGTGAGAATTTGAACATATCTCCTTCAGTGTGGGGTGTATGATTTGCAGATGAGGAATAGACCGATAACATTTCTTTGACTTTGAAAATGCCTTTGACCCCTTGCAACACAAAACTTGCTTTACTAGCTTGGAAGACACATATGACTACATCTGTTTGTAATGTTCAGACTAATCACTTTAACCACCCCCACAGCCAAACTCACAGGAAGTTGGTCCCTCTTGAGATATTCCACCTTGTTTATCTGAGAATTCTTGTGCTCTCTCAGTCTGAAGGGACTTGTTGTGGGCTGAAGAAGGGAAGAACCAAGGCTCCCCCTCAGTCTTTCTCATTAACTGATTGGGTTGGGGAATCTACACTTAGGGAGGTCTAAGTTCCTTTTGTTCTCTGACTCCACATCCAAATGCTGCTAGTGGCCCATGGGGAGCTTTGGAGGAGGGTCTACTTGGACTTCTTTCCTGCCAGATCGTCCCAGACTCAATCATCTCAGCCCATCAGAGATCTTCTAATAGTGGGAATCTTCAAAAGGAAGGAGTCAGTGTTGCTTGTGAACTCTTCTCTCAGGAGGCTTCTTGACCTCTGCAAGTTCACCAGTCTCTTCCCAGAAGAGGGCAGTGAGATGGAGGAGGGACATGCTTATACTTGGTTTGGAAAATCTTCATGCTTGTGAATGAATGTAGGTTTAACCTTTTCCCACTCCCAAGGAGAATTCTGTCCACAGTAGGACGGTCTCACAAGACACAGGAGAGCTATGATGTTTCGTTGTGTTATGCGATAGAGAGTTTGAGGCTGTGGCAAGTGCTAGAAAGGCGTAAAATTTAATCCTAAGAAGTTTACCTTGACTTCAGCTATCTGCTCCAAGTAGAGGAGATACCTGGTAGCAGTGACATTAGTTTCAGAGTCCGCTCGCCTAGGCATGTGTGACTAACTGACAGTATATAGAACCTAGTCTGTGACCAGTTTTCTTTTCCCCAAAATTTTATTTAAAAAATTTCAATCCTACAGAAAAATATCAAGAACAGCTCTATAATAGGCACTTATGATCTGCATACTTTTCTGTAAGTATGTGATACTTCAATAAAAATTAAGAATAATATGATAAACATTCATATATTCTTCAGCTAGATCCACCAATTTTAATGTTTTGCTATATTCGAATTCTTTCTCTTCTCTCCTCCACCCAGACACACACAGAGAGATACACACGAACACACACATGTATTCATTATATATTAAAATGTGTATATATATGCATATATATTCTAATTTTATTTAACTATTTTAGAGTATGTTGCAGACATCATGATTCTTCATCCTTAAATACTATTTATTGCCTAAAAATAGGGCATTCTCCTACACAAACATGATCCTAGTATTACTTTGAGAAAACATTGATACAAAAGTATTATTGGGTAGTGCATGTTAAAGTTTTCCTAAGTCCATTGTATATGGATTTAAAAATATGTAGGATACAATCAAGGATCACACATCGCATTTAGTTGCCAAGTCTCTTTAGTATCTTTTAATCTAGAATAGTCCTCCTGTTTTCTTTTTTTGTTGGTTTTTTATGACACTGACATTTTTGAGAAGTCTAGAGAATTTGAATACTTCTGATTTACAGAACTTGAATATTTCTGATTGTTTCCTCAGGATGTATGTTAAACATTTTTGACAGGAATAGTACCTAGATGATATTGTTTACTTCCCATTCACTGTATTTCATGGTGGTGGGGTGGGGTAAGGGGAACCCAATGTCTTCTGGTCCCATTATATAAAGGTGATGTTAAAGTTTGATCGTTCAATTAAGGTGACGTTGTTTGATTGTTCAGTTAAAGTGATGTCAGTCAGATTTCTCCTCTATGACTAAAATACAACTCAACTTCCAAAACGAATCTCATAAACATGACACAAGATTGAACATTATTAAAAACACACGAAAAGGAGTTTCAAAATGAAGGAGAAAGGAGAAAAGAGTTCATGAACCTTAATAAAGATGAATAAAAACCATCCAATCTGAATATCATGGAAAAAAAAGACTAGACAAAATGAACAGAGCCTCAGTAAACTGTAGGATGATATCCAAAAAGGCCTAAGATATATGTAGTTGTGGTTCCAAAAGGAAAAGACAGAGATAATGAAGCAAAAAAAATTTTTTTTAACAAATAGCGACTGGATTTTCTAAAATTTGGTGAAACACACAAATCTACATATTCCAGTTCAGAAAATTCCCCTCTTTTTCCCTGCTCCCCTGCCCCATCCAAATATACAAAGAAAGCCATACCTGAGCACGTCAAAGTCAAACTGCTGAAAACTACAGATGAAAAGCTTTTGAAAGTAGCCGGAAAAAAATGGCACTTTACATGCAAATTGCAATCGCATGACTTATCAGAAATAATGGAGGCCAGAAGATAGTGGAATGGCAACTTTAAAGTGCTGAAAGGGACTTCTGGTTTCAGGTCCAATATGTAGAGAGCTTGGAAGTCATGATTTTCCTTTTTACAGTAAGAAAATGCTGAACAAACTGAAAATCAGCAACTTTTCATGGGCTCCTCAGACAGCTGAGGTATCAAGGCAAACACCGCATGTGATCTGGGGAGACAGTTGCATCCAGAGTCACGGCGGAGATGTGTTTTCCCAGAGCAGAAGCCCCTGGAGCCAAACTCCCCGGGGGACTTGAGTTCGCTTTGTTCAAACTGGTAGGAACACTTCAATTTTGCGTAATTTTGATGGATTGCCAGATGCTAAGTGGACGAGTGTGAAAGTGGGAAACTCCTGGGGGAGGCAGTCTTTGGCCCTCCTCGCAGTGTACGGGTTTTACCTCTGGGAAATCACCAGGTTCGCATGGCGAAGAAACAACAAAGAGCCAGCAAAGATACTGTCACGGCTCTGGCAGGAGGGGAAGGGTGACCATAGTGAAAAGAGCATTTTACATAACACAGACCTACTCTTCAAGATTCCCAGAGCTTTAACCCATCTGCAGGAAAGACATTTCTCCTACTCCAGCTCCTTGTCTCACCTGAGGTGGAAGTGGTGCCGGGAAAGCTGAGAAACACCTGCCAAAGTCACAGCCTGCGGACCCAGACCCACTAAAAGACCATGATTTGGCCGGGCGCGGTGGCTCACGCCTGTAATCCCAGCACTTTGGGAGGCTGAGGCAGGCAGATCATGAGGTCAGGAGTTCAAGACTAGCCTGACCAACATGGTGAAACCCTGTCTCTACAAAAAATACAAAAATTAGCCAGGTGTGGTGGCGTGCACCTGTAATCCCAGATACTTAGGAGGCTGAGGCCAGAGAACCACTTGAACCCAGGAAGCAGAGGTTGCAGTGAGCCGAGACTGCATCACTGCACTCCAGCCTGGGTGACAGAGCGAGGCTCCTTCTCAAAAAAAAAAAAAAAAAAAAGAAAGACGATGATTTAATCGTGTGATTATTGATGACTTCCTCTTCTCTACACTTTGTTACTGTAGGGAACAAAGAAAAACTTCCTTTTTGCTCTCTGAAGGTTTGCTGACAATCAACTGACAAAAGGCAGATGAATAGAGACAAAGACACACAAATTCATTGTACTGTGCGTAGCATGGGGGACTTGCAGGAGAATGATCACCCAATAACCCAATGGAATCCAGATGTTTATATAACTTTCTTGATAGGGGAGGGAGCAAATGGGAAATGTAGGTAATTCTTTCTTATTTTTTTCTGAATCTAATTTGAAAAGCCATGTTATTTCTTTTGAGGATCAATAAATTATTATTAGGGAGAATGAGTGGATCAAAAGTTAATCTGTAAATGATTCTCTTTGGAATGTGAATGACCCTGAGAGACAGATATCTGATGAAAAGGTCCATCCTGGTGTGGTTACATTCCTCAGCCTTCATCTCTGTCATAGACATTGAGATTTCAGGGAGGGGATGGGAAGCAATTGTTCTCCTTGGTGGGTCCAGTTTTTATGTAGCTAAGAAAAAACCCATTCCAGCATCTGCTGATCTCTAAGAGCCTTAATTCAAAATACTCATCATACCGGGGCAACGTATTTTGGTGTGAAATTATTCTGGTTTCCTCCACCACCATTCCAAAAGGGCTCCAGTGTAATTCAGTACAGTGTATTACAGCTGAGAGAGTTGAAGACACAAATTCTTTCTAAAGAGGAGACAAAAATAAGGACAATAGGAATTTGAAGCAAGGCCCTTGGCCCCCTAAAGACTTGCTGAAAACCATCATTGACATGAGGCAGATTGGTTAATGGGAGAAAAGGCATACAGATTTATTTAATGTGTATACATGGGAGCCTTCAGAATGAAGACCCAACCTCCCAGTGATGTACAAAAGCTTGTATACCATCTCGAGGTTACCGATAGAATGGGGGCTTGCATCCTGATCAAACAGGCTGTGGTAGCGGGCAGAAGAGGAATTGTCTTGAGAGGATTACTAGGAAGAGTGAATGGATTCAGAACTCTGAGACAGTCACTGTACCTGTAACATGTCTGTTCAGGTGTGCTTAGGTTGTTGGACTTACTTTCCACAGTAGATAGGCAGATAAAGGAACTTCAACTTATATGGCAAAGAAAGTAATGAGGGAGATCAGAGAGACCTGGAAGCTTCTTCAGCTCAGCATGTCAAAATGCCGTATTTTGGGGTATTGGTTTCTAAGCCCCAACATACAGAAAACATTATACATGGCCCAACTTCTAGCCAGATTAACATAAACCTCACACTGATGGGCTATTTACATCAGTTTCTATTACTCAATTACATCATGTTTGGCTTTCAAAAAATGTTATAAGCTATGCTAAAAGGCAAGAAAAAGCAAAGTCTGAAGAAATGAGCAAGCACCAGAACCAGATCTGGATATGATGCAAATGTTGGAATGATCAGACAGGGAATTTAAAATGGCTGTGATTAATACATGCAGGATTCTACTGCAAGGACATAGAGTTAATGTAAGCTCAGAGGTGGAAACTCTAAGAAAGAATCAAAAGAAAACACTAGAAATTGGCTGGGTGCAGTGGCTCACGCCTATAATCCCAGCATGCTGGGAGGCCGAGGAGGGTGGATCACGAGGTCAGGAGATCGAGACCATCCTGGCTAACATGGTGAAACCCACAAAAAATTAGCTGGTCATGGTGGCACATGCCTGTAGTCCCAGCTACTTGGGAGGCTGAGACAGGATAATTGCTTGAACCCGGGAGGCAGAAGTTGCAGTGAGCCGAGTTGGCGCTACTGCACTCCAGCCTGGGTGACAGAGCAAGGCTTTGTCTCAAAAAAAAAAAAAAAGAAAGAAAGAAAAAAGAAAACCCTAGAAATTAAATAAAAATACACTAACATAAATAAAGAATGCTGTCTGGGCACAGTGGATCACACCTGTAATCTCAGCATTTTTGGAGGCCAAGATGGATGGATTACTTGAGCCCAGGAGTCTGAGACCAGCCTGGGCAACATGGCAAGGCTTCGTCTCTACAACAAATACAGAAATTAGCTAGGCACGGGGGTATGTGCCTCTAGTCCCAGGTACTTGGAGGCTGAGGCAGGACGATTTCTTGAGCCTGGGAGGTCGAGGCTGCAGTGAGCTGTGATTGCACCACTGCACTCCAGCCTGGGCAACGGAGTGAAATTCTGTCTCAAAAAGTAAAAAAATATATAAATAATGCATTTGATGGGTTTATCAGTACACTGGACATGACTGGGAAAAAATTGTACGCTTGAAGATAGATCGATAGAAACACCTCAGACAAAAATGCAAAGAGAAAAAAATTTAAATAAAAAAGAAAACAGACTAAGTATGGGATTGTTACAGGAAAGGGGTCTCAATCCAGACCCCAACAGAGGGTTCTTGGATCTCACACAAGGAAGAATTCAGGGCAAGCCCATAGAGTAAAGTGAAAGCAAGTTTATTAGGAAAGTAAAGGAACAAAAGAACGGCTACTCCATAGACAGAGCTGCCCCAAGGGCTGCTGGTTGCCCATTTTTATGTTTATTTATTGACGATATGCGAAACAAGGGGTGGATTATTCATGCCTCCCCTTTTTAGATCATAAAGGGTAACTTCCTGACATTGCCATGGCATTTGTAAACTGTCACGGTGCTCGTGGGAATGGGAGTGTGGCAGTGAGGATGACCAGAGGTCACCCTGATGGCCATCTTGGTTTTGGTGGGATTTGGCTGGCTTCTTTTTTTTCTTTGTTTTTGAGACAGAGCCTCGCTTTGTTGCCCAGGCTGGAGTGCAGTGGCACGATCTCGGCTCACTGCAACCTCCGCCTCCCAGGTTCAAGCGATTCTCCTGCCTCAGCCTCCCAAGTAGCTGGGATTACAGGCATGTGCCACCATGTCCGGCTAATTTTTGTATTTTTAGTAGAGATGGAGTTTCACCACCTGGGCCAGGCTGGTCTTGAACTCCTGACCTCGTGGCCCACCCACCTCAGCCTCCCAGAGTGCTGGGATTACATGCGTGAGCCACTGCACCCGGCCTTGGCTGGCTTCTTTACTGCAACCTGTTTTATCAGCAAGGTCTTTATGACCTGTATCTTGTGCTGACCTTCTACCTCATTCTGTGACTTAGAATGCCTTAACCGTCTTGGAATGCAGCCCAGTAGGTCTCAGCCTCATTTTACCCAGCTCCTATTCAAGATGGAGTTGCTCTGGTTCCAATGCCTCTGACAGGATAATTACAAAAGAAGTGACTTACATGTAATTGGAATACCAGAAGGAGAAGAAAGATAGAATAGAGCTGAAGAAATATTTGAAGTAAAAGTGGCTGAGCACTTTTTCAAATTAATGACAACTAAACCACAGTTCCAGACAGCTCAGAATACCAAAGGATAATTACCAAAAAATCTACACCCAGGCATATTATATTCAAACTACAGAAAACTAAAGATAAAGAGACAATCTCTAAAAAAAACCCCTAAGAGTTGGCGTGGGGGGGAAATCTTACCTACAGAGGAACAAGGATAAGAATTTTAGTGGACTTCTCCTTAGAAACCAAAAAAGCAAAAAGAACGTTGAGTGAAATATTCGAAGTGTTGGAAGAAGAAACTTACCAGCTTGAAATTCTACATCCAGTGAAATTATCCTTCAAAAGAGAAGGAAAAACAGAGTTTCTCACACAAATAAAAACTAAGAGGATTTGTCACCCACAACATGTTCTGAAGAAATGTTAAAAGAAGTTCTTCAGGTCAGAAACTAAGCTCTCCATAAAGAAAGGACAAGTACTCGAGAAGAAATAAATGAAAGTAAAAGAAAATTTTTTATTTTTCTTATTTTTAATTGATGTAATGATGCATTCGGTAATTATACAATGTGAATACAGGAAATTAATGACAGCAACATCATAAGGGATGGGAGAGTTGGGAATACTTTATTATAAGGTATTGGCACTACATGTGAAGTGCTATAGTGTTATTTGAAGATATACTTAGATTATTTTAAAATGTATGTTGCGAACTCTAGAACAACCACTAAAAATTTAATAAAGAAGCATACTTGACATTCTGAGAGAAAGGAAAATAAAAATCATATAAACTGCTCATTACAACCAGAATAGGCAGAAAAAAAAGAGAGGGAAAATATAACAAAGAACAAAGGCAAAAAATAGAAAACAATATAGACGAATATAGTAGATATTAATCCAACTATGTAAATCATCACTTTAAATGTGAATTATCTAAATATATCAATTAAAAGAATGTCAGATTGGATTAAAAAAGCAAGATTTAACTCCATGTGTTCTATAAGAAAACTTCCCCTTTAAATATAAAGACTCAGATATGTTAAGAACAAAGGGATGAGGAAAGATACACCTTGCTAACACTAATCAATAGGAAGTTAAAATAGCTTTATTATTTTTGAACAAAAGAACAGCAAAATATGTGAGGCAAAAACTGATGTAATTCAAGGAGAAATGGACAAAATCCACTCTTGTAGTTGAAGACTTCAACACACCTCTTTCAGGACTTGATAGATGAAGCAGACAGAAAATCAGTCAGGATACAGTTGCCCTGAATGGCATGCTCAATCAATCAACTTGATCTCATTGACAAATTTCTAAAATACTCCATCCAAAAACGGCAGACTGCACATTCTTCTCCAGCTTAAATGTGATGTTCACAAAGATACTCCATGTCCTGGACCATAAGACACACCTTAATAAATGTAAGAAAATAGAAATTATGCCAAGTATGTTCTTAGGCCACAGTGAAATCAAACTAAAAATAAATAAGAAAAAGATGCTGGAAAATGTCCACATATGTAAAGATTAAACAGTACACTTCTAAATAACACATGGGTCAAAAATTCTCAAGAGAAACCTTAAAATATTTTGAATTAAAAAACAAAACACAATTTATCAAAAGTTGGGGAATGCAGTGAAAGCAAGAACATTTATAGCACTGAATTCGTTTATTAGAAAAGAAAAAAGATCTAAAATAATCTAAGTTTCTACCTTAGGGAACCAGAGAAAGAAGAGCAGTTTTAGCCTAAAGCAGAAGAAAAGAAAGAATAGAACTTAGAGCAGAAATCAAAGAAATTGAAAACATGAAAACAATAGAGAAAATCAATGAAATTGTTTCTTAAAAAGATTAATAAAACTAATAAAGATTTAGGCAGATTAATCAGAAAAAAGAGAAAAGATAAATTACCAATATCAGAATAGAAGCAGGCTCATGTACTGATTCCATGGACATTAAAGGATAATAAAATAATACTATGAACAATTCTATGCTTAAATAAAATCTAACTTTTATGTAAGTTAAATTTGATAACTTAGATGCAATGGATTGATTCTTTGAAAAACACTAATTACTAAAGCTCACAAGGAGAGACAGATAATCTGAATAGGTCTGTATCTGTTAAGGAAATTGAATAAAAAAGTAACAACTTTCCAAGAAAGAAAGCACCAAGGTGATATGATTTTACTATTGAATTCTACCAAACTTTTAAGGAAGAAATTCCTTAAAAGAAATCCCAATTCTGTATACTCTCTTCCAGAAAATAATGGTCCGTTAATTTTAACAAGTGTATAATACTAATAAAAGCTGTAATAATAAGGCAAACTGGGTGTAGGGTGTATGGGAACTCTTTTATTATTATTATTATTCTGAGACAGAGTCTCACTCTATCACCCAGGCTTAAGTGCAGTGGTACAATCACAGCTCACTATGGCCTCAACCTTCTGGGCTCAAGTGATCCTCCCACCTCAGCCTGCCAAGTAGCTGGGACTATAGGCACATGCCACTATGCCTGGCTAATTTTAAAAATATTTTGTAGATACAAGGTCTTACTATGTTGCCTAGGCTGGTCTTGAACTCCTGGGCTCAAGTGATCCTCCTGTCTTGGCCTCCCAAAGTGCTGGGATTGCAGGTGTGAGCCATCATACCCAGCCTCCATATAATAATAATAATTATTATATAGTATCTGCCAACCCAGAATTTTATATCCAGCAAAAAATAGCCTTCAAAAATAAAGAAAAAAAGTGAAGCCAATTTCAGATAAAGGAAAACTAAGAGAATTTATCACCAGCAGACCTGCTTTCCGATAAATTCTAAAGATAGTTCTTTGAGCAAAAGGGAAACAGTACCAGTGAAGATCAAATCCTCAGAAAGATAAAAAGAGTATCAGAACTGGTAACTATGTAGATATATATTCTTAAAACTATCAATCCATTCTTAATTTCTTTAAAATGCATCTTAAAGTTTACAGCAAAAGTTATAGCATTGTATTGTGAGCTTTATAGAGTATGTAAATGTAACACTTGCCAGCATAAAAGATACAAGGTTAAAATTAGTGTGGACTTAGAAGGTACTCACATTTCAAGTGAATAATATTAACTCTAAGTAGGAAAAATCTAAGGCTACACATTGAAATAGCTAGAGTAACCATTTAAAAATAATGCAAAGAGATATAACTTAAAAGCCAATAGAAAAATTAAAGTAGAATTCTACACGATATTCAATTAACCCTCAAAAAGGTAGAAAAGAAAATATAGAAGAACAAAGACCAGATGTAAAACAAGGAACAAAGAGCAAAATGCTAGGCTGAAATCCGAACATATCAATAATTTCATTCAACAGAAATGAACTAAATACCCCAGTTAAGTGGCAGAGGTTGTCAGAATGGATTTTTTTTTAAAAAAAGGAAGACTCCATCATAAACGTTTAGAGAAGGCAGGATTTAAATATAGTGACACAGATAGACACAAAATAGTAAGAAAATAGCATACTAGCCAAATAGAATGCATTAAAAGTTGGAGTGGCTATATGAATATCAGATAAAATAAAGATAAACAGTATTGTCATAGATAAACATTTCATAATGATGAAAGGGGCCATTCTGCAGGAAGATTTAACAATTATAGATGTGCATGCACTCAATAACAGAGCTTCAAAATAGATGAAGCAAAAGTTGGCAGAATGGAAGAGAAAAATAGACAATTCCACAAGTATAGTAGGAGATTTTGACACCCCTCTCAGCAAATACAATAATTAAGGCAAAATGTCAATAGGAGATCTAAGCAACTTTTTTTTGTTTTTGAGATGGAGTCTAGCTCTGTTGCCCAGGCTGGAGTGCAGTGGCGTGATCTCGGCTCACTGCAACCTCCGCCTCCCTAGTTCAAGTGATTCTCCTGCCTCAACCTCCCGAGTAGCTGGGACTACAGGCGCCCACCACCACGCCCAGCTAATTTCTGTATTTTTAGTAAAGACGCGGTTTTACCATGTTGGCCAGGATGGTCTTGATCTCTTGACCTTGTGATCCGCCCCTCCTTGGCCTCCCAAAGTGCTGGGATTACAGGCCTGAGCCATGCGCCCGGCCGAGATCTAAACAACGTTATCAACTACATTGATCTAATTGACTTTACAAAATAACTTCCAACAACAGCAGAGTGTGCACATTCTTTTCAAGTGCACATAATGTGTTCACTGAGACAGACTGTGGCCTGGGCCATAAAACAAACTTCATAAATTTAACAGGATCAGCATCATACAAAGTGTTCTCTTTGACCAAAATGGAGTAAAATTAAATGTCAAGAACAATAAGATTTTGAAGAAAACCCAAAATATCTGGAAAGTAAGCAACACACTTTAAATAATTCATGAGTCAGAAACAAAACACAAGTGAGAGTAGAAAATATTTTGAACTGGATGACAACAAAAATGTAATATACCAAAATTTGTGAGATACAAAATGATGCTTAGTAGGAAACTCATAGCTTTATGAACTTTCCTAGTAGAAAAGAGGAAATAAATAAAATCAATCACCTAAGTCTCCACTCTAAGAAGGCAGAAAAAGAAGAGGAATGTAAACTCAAGTAAAGGGGAAGAAGAAAATGCATATTTAGAAAATCAATGAAATAAAAACTAGATAGACAATGGAGAAAATTAAGAAAGCAAAGAGCTGATGCTTTGAAAGATCAACAAATTTGACAAATTTCTAGCTAGACTGACCAAGGGGAAAAAAAAATATATATATATATATATATATTCCACCAAATTAGAAATAAAAAGGGGGTTATTGTCACAGACTCTACAGACATTAAAAAGCTAATAGAGTACTATAAATGAATTTATGTCGACAAATTTGAAAGTTAGACAAAATGGATGAATTTCATTTGTTTTCTTTTCTTTCTTTCTTTCTTTCTTTTTTTTTTTGAGAGAAGATCTTGCTCTGTTCTGTTGCCCAGGCTGAAATGCAATGGCACAGTCATAAATCACTACAGCCTCAACCTCCCTAGGGCTCAAGTGATCCTCCCACCACAGCCTCCCAACTAGCTGGGACTACAAGCACGTGCCACCATGCCTGGCTAATTAAAAAAAAAATCTTTTTTGTAAAGATGTGGTCTTGCTATGTTGCCCAGGCTGGTCTCAAACTTCTGGACTCAAGCAATTCTCCTGCCTCAGCCACCCAAAGTGCTGGGATTACAGGCATGGGCCACCATACCTGGCTAAAATGGACAAATTTCTTGAAAAAAAAAAAAAAAAGTACCCAAATTAACTCAAGAAGAAGTAGAAAATCTAGTAATTCTATTTCCATTAGCAATGAAATGTATTAATGAAAATCTTTCCCAAAGAAAACTTTGGCCTAGATGGTTCCCTGTGGAGTTCTACCCAATATTCAAGGTAGAAATAGCAACAGTCTTACACAAACTTTTCAGAATATAGACAAGGAGGGATCACGGTCCAGCCCATTTGTATAAATCTAGCATATATCTAATACCAAAATCTGACACTGACATTACAAAAAATAAGAAACCCATCCCATCAAGAATATGATCCAAAAATCCTTAATACAGTAATAGCAAATGGAATCCAACAGTAAATGATGTACATAATGACCAAGTAATTTTATCCCAGAAATGCAAGTTTAGTTTAACATTTGAAAACAAATCAGTGTAATTAAACATATTAACAGAGTAAAGGAGAAAAATCATGGGATCATTTTAATAGACACAGAAAAGACATTTGACAAAAATCAATACCCATTCATGATTAAAAAACAAAAAGGTCTCAGAAACTAGAAATAGTACAGATCTTCCTCAAACTGATAAAGGGCATTTGTGAAAAATTAAAGCCGACATCATACTTATAATGAAGACTGAATTGTTTTCCCCTGAAATAGAGAACAAGACAAGGATTCCCATTTTCATTGCCTTTTTTCAACATTGTTCTGGAGGTTTTAATTACTATACTAAGGCAAGAAAAACAAATAAAAGGCATAAAAATTAGAGAGGAAGACACAAAACTGTCCCTATTTCGGACGATACAGTTGTTCACGTAGAAAACTTTAGAGGATCTACAGAACAACTCTAAGAACTAACAAGTGGATTTAGCAAAGTTGCAAGATACAAAGTTAATATACAAAAAATATTATATTCTTATATATGGTATCAGCATACAATTGGGAAATGAAAGTTTAAAACAATTCCATTTACCAGAGTGTATCCTAAAATCATAAATCTCTAAGGTATTTATCTGACAAAATATGTTCAAGCTTTATAAACCGAAAATTAAAAATTGATGAGAGAAATTAAAGAAGACCTAAATAAATTTAGAGATATACCATGTTCAGGAACTGGCAGACCCAGTATTATTAAGATGGCTATTCTCCTCAAAGTGACTTATAGATTTATCATGGTCTCAACATTCTAATGATCTTTTAAAAAATATAAATTGGCAAGCTGATTTAAGAATTTATTTGGAAATGTAAAGGACCTTTTAAAAAAGCCATTTTTCTAAGAAAAATTTGGAGGACTTAACACTATCTGATTTTAAGATTAATTGGTGAAAAGACAGACATAGAAATCAATGGTAAGAACTGAAAATTCTTCTTCTGAAAATGGGAGGTGGAAAAATAAGGAAATCAGAAATAAAACAACACATATATGATTGTTTGATACTCTACAAATGAGCTGAGGCAATTCAAGGGCAGAAATAAATCTTTTCAACAAATATTGCTCCATAACATGGATTCTCTATGGGAAAAAAAGCAGACATTAGTGTTTGTATCACACTATATAAAATAATTAACAAGTGGATCATAGACTTAAATATACAAATTTAAAATGTAAGATGTCTAGAAGAAAGCATAGGGGAAAATATTCACAAGCTTGGGAGTAGGCAAAGATTCCTTAGAACAAAGAAAGCACATTTTATGAGAAACGATATGAGTAGACTTCTTCAAAATTACAAACTTTTGCTCTTTGAAAGACACATTTAAAAAACAACAAGGTAAGCCACAGACCGGGAGAACTTTCTTTGTGCAAGTTGACTCCCTGTATCCTTAGAAAGATCTGGAAGAATCTGGAGGCTGGAGAAGATCTAAGAAGGCAGGGTAGATTAACAACCCAGGAAAGTGACAAAAAGGTGAACTCTGAAGTATACAGAGACAAAATGTGTGTGAAAGGCACAGAAGCTGAGGTTTTGACCAAATCTCACCACAGCCGACTGAGAAATGTCTGTGAAAGGAGACACTGTGGAAAAATACAATGAATGCCTTCTTTACCTACGGAGGAGGAAAGTTTTTTTTTTTTTTTTTTTTTTTTTTTTTTTTTTTTTTTTTTTTTTTTTTTGATACTTTAAGTTCTGGGATACATGTGCAGAATGTGCAGGTTTGTTACATAGGTATATATGTGCCATGGTGGTTTGCTGCACCCATCAACCCATCATCTACATTGGGTATTTCTCTTAATGCTATCCCTCCCCTAGGCCCCCACTCCCCGACAGTCCCGGTGTGTGATGTTCCCCTCCCTGTGCCCATGTGTTCTCATTGTTCAACTCCCACTTATGAGTGAGAACATGTGGTGTTTGGTTTTCTGTTTTTGTGTTAGTTTGCTGAGAATGATGGTTTCCAGCTTCATCCATGTCCCTGCAAAGGACATAAACTAATCCTTTTTTATGGCTACATAGTATTCCAAGGTGTATATGTGCCACATTTTCTTTATCCAGTCTATCATTGATGGGCATTTGGGTTGGTTCTAAGTCTTTGCTATTGCGAACGGTGCTGCAATAAATATACGTGAGCGTGTGTCTTTATAGTAGAATGATTTATAATCCTTTAGGTATATACCCAATAATGGGATTGCTGGGTCAAATGGTGTTTCTGGTTCTAGATCCCTGAGGAATCACCACACTGTCTTCCACAATGGTTAACTAATTTACACTCCCACCAACAGTGTAAAAGCGTTCCTATTTCTCCACATCCTCTGGAGGAGGAAAGTTTTTGAGTTTGTTCCCCTAAGAGATGGCACATAGACAGGTTCAAGAAGAAGTTAATTCTACAGCATGTTAAAGGAATCTGTGAATGTTTGGGAATTCCATTCCCTCCCCATTCTAAGTTTGATAACAATCCTTCCTGGTCCTCTCTGTGCCCACCCCTCCTCCCCTCTGTCTTTCTGTACCTCTGCTTTCCCTTCCCACGCCTTCTTCCTTTCATGTGACTTGGGGAGGATGCACGATCTCTAGTCCCAGACCACATCTTCTTGCCAGTGATTGGCCAATGGG